>NC_000014.9:37793531-38096561 GCF_000001405.40 Homo sapiens | reverse complement strand
GTACATGTGCAGAACGTGGAGGTTTGTTACATAGGTGTACACATGCCATAGTGGTTTGTTGCACTCATCAACCCGTCATATACATGAGGTATTTCTCTTAATGCTATCTCTCTCCTAGCCCCCCAATCCGTGACAGGCCCCGGTGTGTGATGTTCCCCTTCCTGTGTCCATGTGTCTCATTGTTCAACCCCCACTTATGAGTGAGAACATGTGGTGTTTGGTTTTCTCTTCTTGTGTTACTTTGCTGAGAATGATGGTTTCCAGCTTCATCCATGTCCTTGCAAAGGACATGAACTCATCCCTTTTTGTGGCTGCATAGTATTTATTCCATGGTGTATATGTGCCACATTTTCTTTATCCGATCTATCATTGATGGACATTTGGGTTGATTCCAAGTCCTTGCTGTTGTGAATAGTGCCACAATAAACATATGTGTGCATGTGTCTTTACAGTAGAATGATTTATAATCCTTTGGGTATATACCCAGTAATGGGGTTGCTGGGTCAAATGGTAATTCTAGTTCTAGATCCTTGAGGAATTGCCACACTGTCTTCCACAATGGTTAAACTAATTTACACTCCCACCAACAGTGTAAAAGCATGCCTATTTCTCCACATCCTCTCCAGCAACTGTTGTTTCCTGACTTTTTAATGATTGCCATTCTAACTGGCATGAGATGGTATCTCATTGTGGTTTTGATTTGCATTTCTCTGTTGACCAGTGATGATGAGCTTCCTTTCATATGTTTGTTGGCTGCATAAATGTCTTCTTTTGAGAAGTATCTGTTTATATCCTTTGCCCACTTTTTGATGGGGTTGTTTGCTTTTTCTTGTAAATTTGTTTAAATTCTTTGTAGATTCTGGATATTAGCCCTTTGTCAGATGGATAGATTGCAAAAATTTTCTCCCATTCTGTAGGTTTCCTGTTCAGTCTGATGATAATTTCTTTTGTTGTGCAGAAGCTATTTAGTTTAATTAGATCCCATTTGTCTATTTTGGCTTTTGTTGCCATTGCTTTTAGTGTTTTAGTCATGAAGTCTTTGCCCATGCCTATATCCTGAATGGTATTGCCTAGGTTTTCTTCTAGGGTTTTTATGGTTTAAGGTCTTAAGTTAGTTTATGTCTTTCATCCATCTTGAGTTAATTTTTGTGTAAGGTGTAAGGAAGGGGTCCAGTTTCAGCTTTCTGCATATGGCTAGCCAGTTTTCCCAACACCATTTATTAAATAGGAAATGTTTTCCCCATTGCCTGTTTTTGTCAGGTTTGTCAAAGAACAGATAATTGTAGATGTGTGGCATTATTTCTGAGGCCTCTGTTCTGTTCCATTGGTCTATATAAATGTTTTGGCACTAGTACCATGCTGTTTTGGTTACTGTAGCCTTGTAATATAGTTTGAAGTCAGGTAGTATGATGCATCCAGCTTTGTTCTTTTGCTTAGGATTGTCTTGGCTATGAGGGCTCTTTTTTTTGTTTCCATATGAAATTTAAAATAGTTCTTTTTTTCAAATTCTGTGAAGAAAGTCAATGGTAGCTTGATGGGGATAGCATTGAATCTATGAATTACTTTGGGCAGTATGGCCATTTTCACGATATTGATTCTTCTTATCCATGAGCATGGAATGTTTTTCCATTTGTTTGTGCCCTCTCTTATTTTCTTGAGCAGTGGTTTGTAGTTCTCCTTGAAAAGGTCCTTCACATCCCTTGTAAGTTGTATTCCTAGGTATTTTATTCTCTTTGTAGCAATTGTGAATGGGAGTTCACTCATGATTTGGCTCTCTGTCTATTATTCGTGTATAGAATGCTTGTGATTTTTGCACATTGATTTTGTATGCTGAAACTTCGCTGAAGTTGCTTATCAGCTTAAGGAGATTTGGGGCTGAGACAGTGGGGTTTTCTAAATATGCAATCATGTCATCTGCAAACAGAGACAATTTGACTTCCTCTTTTCCTTATTGAATACCCTTTATTTCTTTCTCTTACCTGATTGCCCTGACCTGAACTTCCAACACTATGTTGAATAGGAGGGTGAGAGAGGCCATCCTTGTCCTGTGCTGGTTTTCAAAGGGAGTCTAGCTCTGTCGCCCAGGCTGGAGTGCAGTGGTGTGATATCAGCTCACTGCAACCTTCGCCTCCCAGGTTCAAGCAATTCTCCTTTCTCAGCCTCCTGAGTAGCTGGGATTACAGGTGCACACCACCACACCTGGGTAATTTTTGGATTTTTAGTAGAGATGGGGTTTCACCATTTTAGTCAGGTTGGTCTCAAATTCCTGACCTCATGATCCACCCACCTTGGCCTCCCAAAGTGCTGGGATTACAGGCATGAGCCACTGCACCCGGCCTGACAGATTTTTTTTCTTTCAGCACTTTGAAAATACTGTCTTGCTCTCACTTGGCCTGCATGGTTTCTGCTGAGAAATCGACTGATAGTCTTATTTAGGTTCCTTTGTATGTGGTAAGCCTCTTTTATATTGCTTCTGTCAAAATTCTTTGATTCTTGACAATTTGATTACAATATGTGTTCATTAATTCTTCTTTGGTTTGAACCTGATTTGAGACCTTTGAGTGTCTGGTAACTGGTTTCATCTGTCCCCAGATTTGGGACATTTTTAACTGTTTTTACTTTAAATAATCTTTCTTTCCCTTTAGCTCTCATTCTACTCCTTTTGAAACATTTATAATGCATCTGATTCTGTCCCATAAATTTCATAGACTTTATTCATTTCTTTTCATTCTTTTTTTCTTTTTTCTTCTCTGACTGTGTATTTTCAAAGACTTATCTTCAGGTTTACAGATTCTTTCTTCTGCTTGAACAGGCCTGCTATTGATGCTTTCTATTTCATTTTTTCATTTCATTAATTGTATTCTCTAGATTCGAATTTCTGTTTGGGTTTTTTAAAATTTATATCCCTCTATTGAACTTCTCATTTCATTCATATGCCATTCTTTTGATTTTGTTGAGTTGTCTATTTGTGTTCTCTTATCATTTGCTGAGTTTCTTTAAAATAATTATTTTGAACTCTTTGTCAGGCAATTTGTTGATTTCCACTTCTTTCACAGTTGGTTACTAGACTACTATACTGTTCTTTTGATGGTGTTATGTTTCTTTGATCGTTTCTGTCTGTTTCTTGACATCTTGCATTGCTGACTTTACTGACTGACTTCAAGAAAGAAACATCCTCACCAATCAGCTTGACTAGGGATTTTGAGACCCTCTCAGACATTTTCTATGGATGCACTTGATTTATACCTTTGTTTCCTCTTACGATGGGGATTAAATTTTTAAGATTTGATGTATTTTCTCAATCTCACAAAGCCAAGCCAGATGCTCAGAGCCTCACATTTGTTTTCCCTTGGAAAGAGCCTCAAAGTTCTCAGGTTTGTGTTTTTTTCTTTCAGTCCCACAGAGTGGAACTGGCTATTTATGAGGCATGCTTTCACTCGCTGTCCATGGGGAAGCATTGGGGAGTTCACTTGGTGGAGGGGGGCATGAGGCACACATAGCATTTGGAGTGCCCTTGGGTCAATTAGGAATATCCATAGGTGAGACACCCCAAGTGACTTATAGGTGGGCTCCTTGATGATGGAGTATGTGGAGAAGATATTAGGGCCTCTCTTCCCTGATCCTAGTCTCTCCCAACAACTCAGCTATGCCAATCATCTCCATTTTCTGGGTGAGGTAAAAAAGAATTAGTCCTTTTGGGCAGTATTCACATGTTTGGGGGAGCAGGTTCCTCATTTATTGCACTCTCACCTTCTCCCATGGGAGAAACTGCAGGCAAAGGGGTTCTCTCTTGGCACAGAGCTGTACTACTTTCAAGGAGGGTTGACATAAATAAAATAAAACTGTTCTTCTTGCTTTCTTCAATGCATCTATTCTGAAATTTTTTTGTTCCAATGGTGTGCTAGAACTTCTCCAATGGATTATCACTGTCCCAAAAATGTACTTTCATTCACGAGTATTCATCAAGATTGATGTTTCTACAGAATGATGATCACCATCTTACTGACATCACTCCTCCTCATGGCTTTTATGGTACCATAGTCCCCAGGTTTTCCTCATCTCTCCAGCTACTCCTTCTTTGTCTCCTTTATAAATGTATATTCTTCTCCCCTGAGGTTTCTAAAGGGGTAAACTTCATTATCTTTCTCTTCTGATTTTTAATCAGTCCTTGAGCGCTCTCATTCATGCCATGGCTTTGAATACCTCCTATAGAATGATAGCTTACTCATCTGCAGCCAGACTTCCCTAGCAATATATCTAATTCACTTCTTGGCATCTCCATTAGCATGTCTCAAAGGCACATTAAACAAAGTATGTCCAAAACCTAATTCATTTTTTTTCTTCCCAAGCCTTATCTTCTCCAGTGCTTCTGCACAGTAAATGGAATCACTATCTGTGTTACACTTTGAGAAGATAAGCCATCCTAGGATTTTTAGAAGCAAGAGAGAGCTTGCAGGTTCAGATTTGTAAAAGATCATTCTAGTTCCAGTACGGAAAACAAATTGCACAGTGGGAAGGAAGAGGTCTTCTTTGAGTTTCACTAGTATATCATATTCTAGACACTACAGAGCATTTGCACTTGCTTTTTTTGTCTGCTTAGAGTACTCTTCCACTTCTCTTTACATTAACTCTCAACTAACCCAATTTCTTCAAGATAACCTTTTTCATCCTTGTTAAATCAAATTCTATTACAGCCCTTGCTGTGGCTGTAGCATTTGTCCTAGTTATTTGTGTGATTATGTGTTAAAAGTCTACCTTCAATAAGAAAATTCCATCTTTCATCAAAAGAGACTATGCCAACTTTTTCTCACAGCTAGCAACATAGCTATAGAATATTCTTCATAATTATTTGGCAAAAGAGCTAAAAATAATAATAAATAAGTTCTGTGGAAAAACAGAGGCATACCAAAAGCTCTAGGCATGCCCTTAGTCAATACAAATTTCTACAATGAAAATACAATATTTATCTGATGCTCATAATGACTAGCCAGACATAAACACAGGTTCTGAATCAAAGAAAGATTCAGTATGCATTCATTTATTTAAGAGTCTTCACATTGTTTATATGTTCCAGGCATTTCTGCATGAGTATAGTATATGACATATTGATATATTTTCAAAATTGAAACTGAAATAAAAATATTACCTGTAACTTTGAGCAAATGTTATCATTTATCTTCAAAGTATATCTCAAATTCAACCATTTCTCACTTCCTCTTATGCCACTATTTTAATCCAAGCCACTATTTACTCTTGCCTGGACTTTTAATTGAATTAACTGATCATTCTGCCTTTATTCTTGCGCTGTTACAAAGCTAGGCCCAACCCAGCAGCTAGAGTGGTCCTTTTAGAACATAATTCAGGTTTAAATTCTACTCTCAGCTATTCAATTTTTTTCTTATAGGCTATCCATTGATGCATAATGGATCACTCAATACTCAGAGGTAAGAAATATCAGCAAATGATAAGAGAACACAAATAGACAACTCAACAAAATCAAAGGAATAGCATATGAATGAAATGAGAAGTTCAATAAAAGAGATATAAATTTAAAAAAAAACCCAAACTCATTACTCTTCTCATGAGTTTGTGGATCAAGAAAGTATAAAAGGCACAATGGAGATTAACCATCTCTGCTCCCCAGTGAGCCTCAGCAGAGGTTATTTGAATGACTAGCAGCAGTTGGAATAGCCCTACTAGGATCATACATGTCTAGTGCCTGAGCTTTCCTTTATATGATATCTGCTGATGCTGGATTGTCCACGTGAGTGACTTCTTCACTCATATCTGACAATTAGGCTGGAATGGATGGAACAGCTGGGGCTGGCTGGACACCTTTGTTTCTCTTTCTATATAGCTCTCTAAATGAATATCTTTGACTTCCTCATAGCATCGTGGTCTCAGGGTAGACTCACTTTTTACATGGTAGTTGGTAGATCCCAACATGTCTAGGCAGAAGCTGCAGGGCTTTTTATGACCCGTTATTACCACAGAACATCACTTTTGCACATTTTATTGACTAAACAAGTCACCACAGCCATGCCAAATTCAAGAAAAGGGAATTAAATGCCACCTTTCAATGGAAAGAGTAACAAATAATTATTGGCCATTTTTAATCTACCACATTCTCATATTACTCTGAGTCCTTACTCACCAACGCTGTTTGAGGCCCTGTGTAACCTTCTTCCTGCTGTTTCTCCAATCCCATCTTCTATTAATTTCCTTCTTGTTGTTCTCCTTTCTGATCCTCAAATATGCCAATGATTGTTCCTATTCAGTGCTTTTAAATTTGCTATTTCCTCTGTCAGGAGTCCTTTACCCCTAGATAATTGAATAAGTCACCCCTTACTTCAAGAGTCTGCATATATGTTGTCACCTTTAGAGAGGGCATCCCTGACCACTCTTTATCACATTTTATTTCCTTACTCTTCTTAATTTTTCTGCATTGCACTTATCTGTCCATCATGTTATACTTGCTTTTCTGTATAAGTCTCACTTTCTAGAGTTTAAGTTCCAAGTTCCAGAAGCACAACATTTTCTTTTTTACCTCTGCAGCCCCAAAGCCTGGCACTTATTAGGGGATCAATAAATACTTATTTTATGAGATAAAGGAATAATTATTGAAATCATATGGAAATTTGATTAATAAAATCCTGCCTCTATAGAGTATTACTGAGATGTCTTTCAGTTATTACATACTTGTTGTATCTGAGACTATTAGGATTTTGAGGGGAATGCCCTTTTCAAAAGGCCAACTGGAGCTGACACAAATTTAGAACTGGATTGAACAAATACAACACATGTCTTGAACATTACTTGGTTCATTCAGGGAATGCAAGATGCAGAATAATTTAGGCAGATGCAAAAAAATAAAAAGTCAATACATTTTAGAAGAACTAGATATCCTAGGGCCTGATTATGCATAGTATTAACCAAGATGGGGACTTGATGTGGCAGGAAAATCACTAATATGGTCAACTCTTATAAAAGGCACAGCTATAAGAAGCCAGCTGGGTGATTACTACATTGAAGAGTATTCTCTAGAACATAATTCCAAAATATAATTAGGGTGCTGATTTTTTAAATGATTTATAATTGTGACTTATCTTATTGGCTATTATTATTCCCTTTTAAATAACCACTTACAAAGGCTAGTAATTATTTTGTGCAAGAACCGGAGTAAAGAACTTGGTTTCACTTTCATTTATTATTTACTTTTTTGTAAGTGTTTACGTATTATAAAACAACCTCCAAAAGAGTTATTGTGCAATAATTATTTGGGTTTTATATGTAACACTGTATTAATATTGGGAAGGCAATATTCTGTTTCTACTCAGCTGAAAAAACCCTTCTACCATTAATCTGTATGATATATTTAGCCCACATTGGGAATGACCTGTCAGGAAATTGTTTACGTAAATTCTTTTGTCTCTTGCCTTAAGAAAGAGACCAAATTGATCATCTGTGTATTGTATTATATTGCACTGGAGAAAGAAGTCTACAAAAAATATACAGGCTATTAAATTCTGAGGTTACATGCAATCGATGGTTTCTAATGCTGATGATTTTGATAGAATAGATATGTCCAAGTCATCATACTATGCTTGGGATAGAATCTAAAAGCTCTCCATCGTAAACCAGTGTCTTGCAAACTGCAGCCTTCAGATCATCTGCTTCAGAGTTACCTGAAGTACTTATTTAAAATGCCCCAATTCAGATATAATGAATTAGAATCTCTGGGGGTGACACCCATGCATTGCATTATGATCAAACACCCCACCCCATATGAGGTACTTAATTATGTACAGTAAAAATGACTTTAAGTTATATAGTTTAAAAACAACTACTATAAGCCAATGTACTAGAGATGGGAAGCTACATGTTCAAGGGAGCATAAAGATAAACTAAAAATGACATTAATATCCATCATTTATTTCTTCTTTTGTTATGAAAAGCTTTGACTATGTTCCTGTCCTATGACCTAACAAAAGAGCAAGTGGGGGTCAAGTGGGAATCACAGAGGCAGGGAGGGGACAAGAAGAGATACAACTTATGAATCACTGCTATCTGGTAGGACAGTCCCCTCTGCAAGTTTGAAAATCTACTACAATGCAGGGGACAGCATAATGTGGCAGTACAAGTCTTGAGTTTATAGTCACAGGGCTTTTAAACTAAATTCTGATTGTGTTACTTACTAGCCATTTATTTATTAATTTTTTTTTTAATTTTTGAGACAGAGTGTTGCTTTGTTGCCCAGGCAGGAGTACAGTGGTGAGATCATGGCTCACTGCAGCACCAACCTCCTAGATTCAAGCAATCTTCCCACCTCAGCCTCCCAAGAAGCTGGGACTACAGGCACATGCCACCATGCCCAGCTAATGTTTTATTTTTTGCAGAGATGGGGTCTCGCCATGTTGCCCTGGTTGGTCTCAAACTTCTGGGCTCAAGGGATCATACTGTCTTGGCCTCCCAAAGTGCTGGGATTACAGGTGTGAGCCACTGTTCCTGGCCACTTACTAGCTTTTTAATTTCCTCTTTTGCACTTGCTAGCCCATTTTCCATACAGGAGCCAGACTGATACTTTTTAAATGTAAATAGGATATTATCACTATTCCTGTTTATACAATCTTGATACTTTCTTATTTCTTTTAAAATAAAAGTCAGATTTTTTTTGAGTATTAGAAGACTAATGGTTTGGTTCCTGTTTATTTCTCCAATATCTTCCAAATCCTTTTCTCTTACAGTTTACTATGATCAGCTCAAACTAACCTGTTTTATTATTTCTAGAAAATGCCAAGTTCTTTTCTATCTTAGAACCTTTACATGTGCTATTTAATCTGCCTGAAATACTCAGTTCCTGAATCTTTGTGTATATTTTGCCTTTTTGTCCATTAGTCTTGGCTAAACATTATCTTTTTAGACAAGTCTTTGCATATTACACTATATATATAGATACCCCCATCTTAGAAAATACATTTTCTAAAATCGTAACATAATGTAATTATCAAGTGATCAGCTCTGGAACCAGAATGCCTGACTTAGAATATACTAATCTCTAAATATGTCTATTGTTATTATTATTGTTTCATAATATTAATTGTATTTACACATTAATTACATCTATTTATTTGTTTTTTTATTTGGTTAGAGTAAGATTCCTCCACTAGCATAAGCTCCAAAAGGGCACTTTATGGATGAGGTTTGTTCACCACTGTAAATCCTGCGTCTGGGCAAAGATCTAGCAGAGGCTCTCAAAGTATTTGTTAAAGGAAGGAAAGAATGAATGAACAGGAGATTTAAGTGGTAGCTTTTGTTGTTGATATTATCATGACATTCTCCATATTATGTTATATTTAATTGGGCTTAAGTTCTACCAACAACTGTATTGGTTCCTTGAGGACGGAGATAGTGCATTAATCATCTAAGACTCCCAGGATACAGGGTAGATATTTATTTAGTCAGTGTGTGTTGAGGTGAATTGCTTAGGGAGTAATGGAAGCAAGAGAGTCACAGTCAACAGAAAGAAAGAATTACCCACATGTAAATCATAACCATGTTTTCCTATACATAAAATTAGACAACTAGAAAAATGAAGAGATGAAGACGAGGCACTCAAAAGAATAAATATCAATAAATTCTGCTCCATTTTAAATCAGAGAAGTCTCAACAGCTGGCAAGTATCAACACTTATCAAATCATATAAAATGCAAATGGTATAATTAGATCATGTAAAATGCAAATGATGTAATTCTTTATCATCAAAAGATGTGGATGACATTAACAATATTACTATTACCAGCAGGTCTAAAACAATGAGAAATGAGTTATTGCTACTAACCTGTTCCTATTTTTGCTCTCAATTAAGTCATGCTCAGTTAATTTATGAAATGAAAACTTTTCAGCTTTATATTCCTCAGTCCTCATGTTAAGTGCTTATTAAATCACATTCTGTTCACTTCCTGGATGCTTCTCTCATTCATCTGCTGCTCATTTCACTGCTACTGACCCAGGTCTTCCTTAGCATTCCTCAGCCTTCACAAAATTTGCTTCCCCTTGCCTCTAATCATCCTACCCACTTTAATCCCTGGAGCACCCTCGCAATCTGTTCCCTCATATCTCCACACATTTGATTGTAGTGCTTCCCTGTCCATCATGCTTGTAACTGTTCATTACCCATCAAATATGTGCAGGCAGCATGGCCTATTATCAGTTCCAACCTGACTTTCTTAGATTCCTCCTTATCGCAGCATACTTGCAACTACCCACCTTTTGGTCTAGCCCTGCTCCACCTCTAGAATTTCTATCATGGTACTTTATCCTTTTCATGCTTTGTGTTTTCAGTTGTTATTTTCTTGGAATTTTTGTCCTCCCAAAGTCTGGCTGTCAAAAGCACCTCCTTCTTTCCTGGCTCAAATATTACTTTTTCCTGTAACTTTGCCAGATTCTTTTAGTTAAAATAAATCCTCCCCCTTTCATATTTCTGTAATACTTAGAGCATTCATAGTCTACCATAGAATACACATAGTTCTGTGTACATCTACATCCCCTACTTGATTATAAGCCAGACAGGAACCATCTATTATTTAGCTTAGAATAAGTCAAAGTGCCAAGTAAAGTGCCCTGCACATAGATATTGATCTATTGATCACCCTGTGCTATTTAAGCTCTACTAATTTAGTTTGATGTAATCATCTGATCCACTTTTTAGAAACCCAGTTTAATTGCCCCAAATGCTAACAGATTCCATCTATCAAATATCTTCTAGATACTATTTTTGTTTTTAAAAATTCAGAAAGTCGAAATGAATTGATTCATTAGTAAAATAGCAAACTTTTAAAACTTAAATTGAATACTACTGTTACAGCTTACATTCCAAAAGTTACAAAATACTAGGTTATATATACTGTTGTTTAGATAGGACATTTTTCTTATGATTTAGAAGATCATGTCATTGGGACAGGATAGTGTCTTGGGAGTGGAGAAAATGAATGTTTCATTTTTTAATTTATTCAATAAATCCTTATTGAGTATCTGCCATATGCTAGGGATTGAGATAAAAATGGGAAACACAAATAAACTATCTGCCCTCAGAAGTCTACAGTCTAATAAAGGGAAAAGGTCTTAATCAAATAATCACATAATTAATTCAAATAATCTTCAATGATGTATATGGAAAGTTTTACAAGATGATGTTCTTGGTGCTGTCAGTAGATCCGGTCAGAGAAGGGAGCAAAAATTCCCCACTGGAGATGGTAATTGGGGGAGAGAGCTGACATCAGAGGGATGAAAAGGAGTATACAAGTCAAAAGATAAGGAGAAATTTTAATTCAGAGAGAAAATTATTTGCTAACACCTGGTAAGAGAAGAGAATGCTGAAAGTAACAAAAGAAGGCAGGCCTTGAGGGGAATAGGGTACAGAGAAGGACAGATAAATGGGGAAGCATCCAACCTTGAAGGATCCTGAGGCTGTTAATGCCTTTGGTCTTTATCTTGTGAGTAAAAGGCGACTTGTAGTGTATGTTAGGCAAAAAGAGGGTGGGGTGGAGTGGAGAAGTTGAAGACAATCTGATTTACATTTCAGAAAAGGTCTTGGAAAGGTCCATCATTAAATTTTCAAAAATGAAGCTGGTTTTGGCTTGAGATATATTGTGCATGTTTATATTGGTGCCAGAGAAGTAACTTGCCCCTAACAGCCTTTAAAATAGCCTCTGTTTTCACTTGGACCAAATTTGGGCTCTTCAGTCTGGCTTTTGCAGCCTTCTGTGATCCAGGCCAACTCTATATGGGCCCATTCTCCTCATCTCCTCAAGCTTTCCACCCCACTCAGATGCATCTCACAACTGCTTCCCGTCCCTCTCTAATTCCCCACAAAGCCTGTACAGATTCTCCCGGCATCCACTCACCATCTAAGACCTACATATGTTTTTAGGTCCAGCTTACTCTTATTTACTCATTGTCTTGGTCCATTTGTTTTGCTATACAGGAATACCTGAGGCTGGATAATTGATAAAGAGGTTCATTTGGCTCACAGTTCTGCAGGCAGTACAACAAGCATGGCACCAGCATCTGCTTCTGGTGAGGGCCTCCGCTGCTTCCACTCATTATGGAAGATGAAGGGGAGCCAGAGTGTACAGTGGTCCCATGATGAGAGAGAAGACAAAAGAGAGGGAAGGGGCCAGGGTCTTTTTAACAACCAGCTCTCAGGAAATTCTCCCAGGAATTAATAAAGTGAGAACTCACTATTACCATGAGGATGGCACCAAGCCATTCATGAGCAATCCACTCCCACAACCCAAACACCTTCCACTAGGCCCTGCCTTCAACATTGGGGATCAAATTTCAATATGAGGTTTGGAGGGTCAAATATCTAAACTATAGCACTCATGTTTCACTTTTCTCTGTCTCCATTAATTCTTATAACCAATACTATGAAAATAAAGCATGGCATCACATAATTTTACAAGACACTATTTCATTCATTTATCTGTGTACCTCTTGTCTTCCCAACATATTTATCTTCCCAAGGGAGGGACTGGATCCTGCATGTTTTTTTGGTCCCTTGCAATTGTTAGCATATTTCTATAAAAATGGTAGTCACTTAAGACATACCTCTTGGCTGAATGCTTACAGTCCTCTACAGTTCTAGAAGGCACTTGAGGAAAACTTGAAAGCAAAGATAGAAATAATTTTGGAAGATTTTTATTTGGAAGATTTTTATAAGGAAGTCGAATGCTACTGTACATTAGGAATGAAGCATAAGTGTAAGAGTAGAATTTTAAAACCGAATAAATGTTTTAGATAAGGAAACTTAACAAACAAATTTCATCCATATTTTTGGGTTTTTAAAATTTTGAAATGACTTCAGACTTACATAAAAGTTGCAAGAAAAGGGTTCAGAGAATCCCCATACACACTTCACCCAACTTACCTTTTAAGATCATGCATACATCTGGTTTCACCTCAAACACTCATTAATTTTAACATCCATCTGGGCCTTGCCTGCAGCAATTATATTTGCCTAATGATGATTTTCTATTTTACTTATTCCTTCAATGTTTATTTATTGGAATCATTGTGTAAGGCAATTTCTCTCCTCCCTACTTTCTTTTTCAATGAGAACCATTGCTTCTAAAAATGTATAGTCTACTCTTCCATGAGGCATCATAATATTATTCAAGTTTAGACTTGTAGACATCCTCTACTGTTAAAATCTGCACTCAGTCATGGTCATATTGAATGCTCTTGGGTGACAGAACAAGGTCTCATAACTTGCTTTGTAAGTGACAAGCTTGCTGTGGTACTCACAGGGGCTTAATCAGTGTTTACAAGTAGGCACTAGGTTTGAATTGCAAATTAAACAGCAGAGAAGTATTTAGAATGAATATGTAGCATTCAAGTGACCTTTCTCAGGCATAATCACTTGGAGAGGCAAACGATATAATTTCTCTCATGCTACAATAGTAATAATGGGCTTCCTTGTGAAAATATGCTTTTGATATTCTGCTCAAACTTGGTGGCTATACTCTATTTATGTTTGTTGAATTAAGAATAGGTAAACAGGACACATATTTGATCTCTGTCTAAAGTGATACTTAGTATTGTATTGCTGTTAAATTTTCAATATACTTTTAGGTATATCATCACCAAACTACCATTCTAAGGGGTATAAAGCTCTTGTTGTCAGATTTTACAGATGAGAAGTTAGGCATAGTAACTGACTTACCTGATTTATGCTCTGTGTTCCTTCCACTGGGCCATTATATGAATTTTCTATCATTTTTATTCTCTATCTCATTGATTCAACAATCTTAATGAACAGCCTTCACAACAATCCAATTTGTCCGCAAGCATTTGCCCCTATAAGAGAACTGTAATTTGCTGCTAACCCTAGTCATAAAGAAGCTCAAGCTAGTTTTATTCAACACCACCAAGTGCTAGTGATGCAGATCCTCAACCTTCTCTGGGGTTCACAAGTCTCTTGTGTCATTGCTGGGAATGTTACACAGATGCAGGCATCTCTTACCTGGGCATTCTAGGGATGATGTGGTAGCTGCTGTCGAAAGAGATTTGCACCAGGACTGAGGAGCAAGTTGTCAGCTTTGCCCTGAGATATGGGGATTCAAATTACTCACAGGCCATCAGTCAACACCAACCATGCTGCATCCTCAGTTCTAGTCACCACAGACTTCTCTCTTTCATCATTTTTCCTCTGACTTCTAGTCTGGCAGGAGAAGCTGAGTAGGGGACATTGGCCCTTTCTGTTGCCTCAGGGTATAACCTTTGAAACCCAGGAAAAGACCTCTCCTCTGCTTCCTGCCCATCTGCTGTCATGTTTTTTACCTGCAAAAATGAGAACAGAATCATCTAGCTGCTGAAACAGAGGAAAGGATAAAAAATTAAAGAAAAAACAAGGAGAAAACTGTTAATATTTCAAAACCATTATTTTTCCAAACACGGCCACCTACTAGCTTTCTGAATGATAATGTAGGAGAGGTGACACCAACAAAAATAGAACTAATTGGCTGGGTGCAGTAGCTCATGCCTGTGGTCCCAGCTACTTGGGAGACCTCTAACAGGTCCTGGACATCAGTTTATGTCACTATGTACAGATTAACCACAGTTTTAATGGATATGTAATTTTTCACATTACAGATACATATTGGATATAAAATATTTCATTGTATGACATACTATAGTGTATCAAATTATTTATCTGCTTGTTAATTTTTTCCAATTTTTCAACTGTACTTCAATAAGTATTCCATATGTATATATTTGTGCAATTCTAAGAATGCTTCAGAAGTATACATTCTTAAAGTGCAAGTAGTAGCTCAAAAGGCATAAGCACTTTATATTTTAGTGGAAATTTCTAAATAGTCTTTCAAAGACCTTCTGGTTGGCAGTAGTCTCGCCAACATTGGATATAAGTGCCCAATCTCCTTATGCTGTTAATTTTTATTGGGACATAAAAATTGTGTGTTTACACAAAATTGAAAATGATGTGTTTACAAAGAATTTTCATATATGCCATGGACCAAATTGTATTTCTCCAAAATTCATATGTTGACTCCCTAACCCCAATGCTTCTATATTTGAAGATAGAGTCTGTGAGGATGTGATAAATGTCAAATGAGGTCATAAAGCTGGGGCCCTAATCTGATAACAATGGTGCCCTTATAAGAAAAAGAGAGACATCAGAGTTCCTATCTCCACTGTGAGAGGACACAGAGAAGATGGCTGTCTCCAAGCAAGGAAGAGAGCCCTCACCAGAGACTGACTATGTCAGGCCTTGATCTGGGACATCTAGCCTCCAGAACTGTGAGCAGAAATTTTTCTGTGTTTAAGCCATGCAGTCTGTGGTATTTTTATTACGACAGCCTAAGCAGACTAATACACACGTCATTTCATTCAAAACTCCTGTCCATGCAAAGGGATACCACCATTCCTAATTTACAGGTAAGGAAATGGCATTAAGAACGTGCTCAGATCACATGGTTTTTAATTGGTGATGCAAGGAGTAGAAGGCAGCTTTTTTGACTTGCAGTCAGGTGTTCCTTTTTATTACGGAAGAGTAGTCTTGTTCATTACAATTCCAGCTCACTTATTAGCTACTACTATGGGAAATCTATTGAAATCACAAAATGCTTGAGTTGTAAAAGTCTTTGGAGGTTATCTAGTCTAGCATAGAAAGTGAGGCCCTGAAAGATCAAGTAATTGGTCCAAGATGACACAGCTAGTTAATGGAAAACCTAAGATTGTTATTCAATTTGACTTGAGTCTAGTGTTCTTGGATTTTTTTTTTCTTTTTTTGAGACAGAGTCTTGCTTTGTTGCCCAGGCTGGAGTGCAGTGGCATGATCTTGGCTCACTGCAACCTCCATCTCCTGGGTTCAAGTGATTCTCCTGCCTCAGTCTCCCGAGTAGCTGGGATTACAGGCATGCGCCATCACGCCCAGCTAATTTTTGTATTTTTAGTAGAGACGGGTTTCACCCTGTTGGCCAGGCTGGTCTTGAACTCCTGACTTCAGGTGATCCACCTGCCTCGGCCTCCCAAAGTGCTGGGATTACAGGCGTGAGCCACCACGCCCAGCCCTTTAATTTTGACATAATCATATTTCAAAGTTTAATTTTAATGTATAAATTATTCCTTTGTAAGTATTTCCAAATACTACTATAATTCTATAAATATGGTTATTTTTCAGGTCACAAACTTTATCTCATAAAATAGAAGTTGCCCTTTAAAATTCCAATCAGATTTATATTCTGATGTCCTTTGGTAAAGTGATGTAGCACATAATGGCCAGTGTTTGTTTCAGTCTTTTTTTTAAGCATGATTGAGCCTTTTTCTTTTATATATGACTCTATTGCAGGACTTAGTTCATTCAGGGGCTGAAGGCTTCCACATCTCTCGTTTCCATGCTAATTAAAATGTCAGTCTCTTCTTCAGTCTTTGGATATGTGCAACAGGAGATTAGAGTTTGTCTGCTTCCTTTATATCAGCAAAATGGATCACACTGCTGCCAGGAGAGTCCCATTAGTGTCATAAATCATAGAAACACTATACACTTTCTGAGAATGAAGGCTGATAGTTGGAGAGCAGTATAGTAATTTTTGCTGACAGTTACCCCCACCAGGACAAAATAAGAGAGTCCTGGGATCAAGCCACAGATTATTCTCAACATTAGCAAAGTGAGATGCTTTTTGAAAATAATTACTTTCCCTCTACAAAGTGGTATAGATATTTTTATCTTTTTTTTTTTCAAAATTAGTTTTGGCATTTAGTTTCCCAGAATATAAGACTTAAATTGAAAATGGCAGAAAAGTCATTCAAAACCCTCTTCTACTTCCCTTAAATATAACACATTCAGTAGCTTGGTGATTTCAAATATATTTTTTCCCAAATAACAAAGGAAATTAAACTCAATAAGTTATGTGTTAAATACACCATGTAGATTCATTATTTTTTTAAAAACTGCCTATACGGTAGAATACCTAATACACAACTGTGGTTATAGCAGAGGAACTGAAAGGTAACACTGATTCACTGAATGTTTCCAAGACTCAGGTTAACCTATAACTAGAAACAGCTTGAAGACATCTGATTCATGTTGTTTCTAGTGTCCAGAGTAATGGAGCTTTTAAAAATCATTTCACAATACCACAAGTATTTACTCAATCTGTATGAGTTGTACTTCTCTTTTAATGAAAGAGTCAAAACACAGTTATAATAATTCCCAGTAACACCACCCACAGAGAGCTGATTATCAAACTATCTTATTTATTCAAAATGAAAGGTTTCTCTCCATTCAGAAGAGAATATAACAAAAGAATAAAGGGAGCAGGAAGCAGGATACTGGAGAAAAGAGAGAAACGGTGAGCCTTTCTGCACATCAGAATCACTCAGGGAAGATTTTGCAAAACACAGGTACCCATATTTCCCCCAGATATTTTCATTCACCTGGTCTGGGTTAGGGACAGGCGTAATTCTCATGCTTAACTTAGATTGAAAACCACTGTAAGAGAATCAACAGGTACACATGAGGATATATGAGGTATCTCAGTGGACTCAGGAGCACTGCAGAGAATGGACACTTCTGTTATTGAAAGGTTGGCATTCTAGGTATGTGCTCTACTACCCCCAAAGGTGGATGCTCTTGGAGTCTTGCCAGGGAAACAATGGTCAATCCCACCTGCTTGTTCTGTGTGCTTGAGCAAGGTACTCAATATTTGATGTTTCACTTCTTCATTTGGAGAATGGGAATGATAGTACTATCTCATGATCATTAGGATAAAGTGCAGTAATCCACATGAAAGGCTTAGCTCAGCACCTGGCATGTGGTAAGTACTCAGTACATGTTATCTGACCACTTAGTTGGGAGAAAATCATCAGAGCCTTTTTTTTTTTTTTTTTTTGCCGTTTAACCACGTACTAACTGATGTATTTATACACACACACACAGCTCAAGCGAAATGTGCTAAACATTTCTGCTTACAAAGGAAACAGAAGTGGTCATGTGGTAATGGAGCCCTCACCACTATTGCACCCAGATTACAACAGGATACCTCACCCAGACAATGGCTACCTGCCAGGTGACAGGGCTTGGATAGTTCTGTAACAGGTATCTGAATTACAAGAAAAGAAGCTGGAGCAAGTGTGTGTGTGTGTGTATGTGTGTGTGTGTTTCGGAGTGTGTGTGTATGTGTGTTGTGGTGAGGGGTATTGTTGTAGTTGCTACTGTTTCAACTGAAGAAATTCGAAAAAAAATCTATAGGTTGAAAGGAAAGAGCCAAAAAAGAGGGAGAGGTAACTCTGCAGGTGAGGGAGAGTTGTCTAATGGAGCAAGAACCTTGAAGACCCCATGTAATAAGATCAGCCTCAGATGGAGCAGAGCAAGCTCCTCCTCTGAGGTGGAAGGAAAGGGCATTAGGAAGCTGTGAAAGCAGATAAATGTGTTGGCATGGCAGGACAATGGGCAAGTTCTCCCTAGTTGGTCCTTATTTTCTCCAATAAATAAGAGCTGAGTTCACCTGCAGAGGTTAAAGCGAGAGGAGGAAAGGAAAGAAGCTAGAGGCAAGTGGCCAGGGTTTTAAATAGCTGTTGGGAAGGTCTCAAGAGCTCCAAAGTACCTCCGACTGTAATAAGTCATTTAGATGGTATTCCTGATTTGTCTTCTTGGCAGATTCTTGAAAATTTGCAGCCAATTGGAGATAATTAGTTTTCCAAATAGATCCCACTCTGGGAGAACCAATATTGCATTCTTTTAATGCAGGCTTTTATAAATAGCAATAAAACATTCTGCCATCTAAGCATAAAGAAGAGACCCATATAAAGTCCTCCCTTCATTGAAAACGGAGATGTTATCTTTTAAAACTATGCTGCAAATATACTTCCCTCTAATATATTGTAATTTCCTACTAAATAACTATTTTTTTTTTTTGGTGGAGAGATCAGAAGTTAAAACCTGCTGTTTTTACCAAAAAGATTTTTATTTCTATTTCTATACAATTAACATGAGTGTTTTTAGGAAGGGGGAGGTGAGGACCCAAGGTTTTTTTTAAGGAAAATAAAACTGAAAATGCAAAAATAGAAAATTCAAAAATGTAAATATATATGCCAAAAGCCAACCACCTTTCCTATTTTTCTGACTTAACCCTTAGCCAAATGATATTTCATGTGGTTTGAGCTAATGAATAAAAAGGTCAAAGAGCTATGGAAAGATAATAAAAAGAAGCATGCAAACAATTGAGAGAGATGAGGAAAGCATTAGAACAAACCACTTTGCCTGCGAAATTTATGCTGAAGGCCACACGCAGGCCAGAACTTGAAATATAGTTGAAAGCTTAAAAGGTACAGTGATAAGAAAACATAGCAGAGGCCATGAAACAGTTCTTCGGGGGTCTAATCACAAGTGCCTGAGAGGATTAGAGCTTTAACAAATACAGCACTGCTTTAGAGAAAGTCAGAAGCAAAATGAAAGCACTTGCCTTCAAAAAGGAATCAAAGAACCACTTGATCTCCAAAAACAAAAAAGACTTATAATGTGGAAAGAATAGTAACTAACTTTTTAATTAATCAGTACTTGGAGTCTCTCTAATACTTGCTATTGCATTTTTTCTTTTTGTCATTATATAATTCTTTTTTTTCTTTTTTTTATTTTATTATTATTATACTTTAAATTTTAGGGTACATGTGCACAATGTGCAGGTTAGTTACGTATGTATACATGTGCCATGCTGGTGTGCCGCACCCATTAACTCGTCATTTAGCATTAGGTATATCTCCTAAAGCTATCCCTCCCCCCTCCCCCCACCCCACAACAGTCCCCAGAGTGTGATGTTCCCCTTCCTGTGTCCATGTGTTCTCATTGCTCAATTCCCACCTATGAGTGAGAATATGCGGTGTTTGGTTTTTTGTTCTTGCGATAGTTTGCTGAGAATGATGATTTCCAGTTTCATCCATGTCCCTACAAAGGATATGAACTCATCATTTTTTATGGCTGCATAGTATTCCATGGTGTATATGTGCCACATTTTCTTAATCCACTCTATCATTGTTGGACATTTGGGTTGGTTCCAAGTCTTTGCTATTGTGAATAGTGCCGCAATAAACTCCTATTCAACATAGTGTTGGAAGTTCTGGCCAGGGCAATTAGGCAGGAGAAGGAAATAAAGGGTATTCAATTAGGAAAAGAGGAAGTCAAATTGTCCCTGTTTGCAGATGACATGATTGTATATCTAGAAAACCCCATTGTCTCAGCCCAAAATCTCCTTAAGCTGATAAGCAACTTCAGCAAAGTCTCAGGATACAAAATCAATGTACAAAAATCACAAGCATTCTTATACACCAATAACAGACAAACAGAGAGCCAAATCATGAGTGAACTCCCATTCACAATTGCTTCAAAGAGGATAAAATACCTAGGAATCCGACTTACAAGGGACATGAAGGACCTCTTCAAGGAGAACTACAAACCACTGCTCAAGGAAATAAAAGAGGATACAAACAAATGGAAGAACATTCCATGCTCATGGGTAGGAAGAATCAGTATCATGAAAATGGCCATACTGCCCAAGGTAATTTATAGCTTCAATGCCATTCCCATCAAGCTACCAAAGACTTTCTTCACAGAATTGGAAAAAACTACTTTAAAGTTCATATGGAACCAAAAAAGAGCCCACATAGCCAAGTCAATCCTAAGCCAAAAGAACAAAGCTGGAGGCATCAGGCTACCTGACTTCAAACTATACTACAAAGCTACAGTAACCAAAACAGCATGGTACTGGTACCAAAACAGAGATATAGATCAATGGAACAGAACAGAGCCCTCAGAAATAACGCTGCATATCTACAGCTATCTGATCTTTGAGAAACCTGAGAAAAACAAGCAATGGGGAAAGGATTCCCTATTTAATAAATGGTGCTGGGAAAACTGGCTAGCCATATGTAGAAAGCTGAAACTGTATCCCTTCCTTACACTTTATACAAAAATTAATTCAAGATGGATTAAAGACTTACAGGTTAGACCTAAAACCATAAAAACCCTAGAAGAAAACCTAGGCAATACCATTCAGGACATAGGCATGGGCAAAGACTTCATTTCTAAAACACCAAAAGCAATGGCAACAAAAGCCAAAATTGTCAAATGGGATCTAATTTTCTTTTTTTTTTAAGACAGGATCTCACTCTGTTGCCTAGGCTGGAGTACAGTGGAGGAATCACGGCTCACTGCAGTCTCAAACTCCTGGGCTCAACCAATCCTCCCATCTCTGCCTCCCAAGTAGCTGGGACTACAGGCATGCACTACCATCCCCACCTAATTTTTATAGAGATGGGGCTCTCACTATGTTGCCTAGGCTGGTCTTGAACTCCTGGACTCAAGCAATCCTCCCACCTCATCGTCACAATGTGCTGGGATTACCTGGCCCAATTCATTTCATTAAAACAATTTATATAATGTGAGCCAAGACAATGAAAATATGCATAAAGTATGCATATACATAGGTGTAGGAGATATCAGTTTCTTCTCTCTTTTTTTCATGTTGTTTCTATAGTAGATCGTATTATAGTTCAAAATATCGGCTGCCACTTCCTGTGGGAAGATTATACTTTCTCACTGCTTTGATGTCAGTTTTGGCCATGTGACCTCCTCTGTGCAAGAAAATGTGAACAGGAGTGATATGGGTTTTTGCAGAAAGAATTAGCATAAAAGGTCTGAGTCTGCTTGGCTTAGAAAGACCTGTGTGCAAGATTGGCCCTCAGCTGGAATTGGGGAGCTTGAATTTCAGGAAGGGTCTCACATTTCCTGATAAGGATGGCTCACAGCACCTAAACTGTTTGTGCAAAGAATAAGGCTTATGCTGAACCCATGAACCCTTTCTGGGAGTCCAGAATTTGGGTACATGCAGGACAGAGGATGCCTATTGTGATCATCCCTCAGTAAAAACTCTAGGCATTGAGTCTGTCTTGTGAACTTCCCCAGTAGATGACATTTCACACATTGTTACGATTTGGCACTGGAGGAATGAAGCACATCCTGTGTTACTGCACTGGATAAGGACTCGGAATCTTGTACCTGTTTTCCTCCAAAAAACTTTGTCCCATGTACCTTTTCCTTTGCTTATTCTACTTTGTATCATTTTGCTGTAATAAATCATCACTACACAGTAATGTGCTCTGAGTCTTTCTAGCAAATCATGAAGTCTGCCCTTTCAGGAAGTCCTTCATGACTCTTTCTCTTTGGTATGACAAGTGTCACTCCTCTGGCTACAGGCTACTCTGCCTTCTGGGTCTCAGAGTGAAGATGACATGACAGAGCCATGGCCAACTTGGAGTGGTCTAACATAAACAAAAACTAAAGCTCACAAGTTGTAAGCCCCTACGATTTTGGAGTTTCCATTACCACAGCAAAACCTAGCTTTTCCTGACTGACACATAATTCTGGTGATACATTAACACAGTTCTTTTGTGCTCCCAAAGCCTTTTCTCACATTATTTACTTTGACCTTCCCAAAACTTTATGAAGTATGGAAACCAGATGATATTTTTATGCTAGAGACTACACGGACCTTTGTTTCATTCTCTAATATCATGTGACATTAAATAAAAATAAATAATTAATTAAATCCCTACTCAATCCCTATTCCATGGATGCATGGTTCTATGGAGTTGTCCATGTAAGAAGCAGACGAATAGCAAATGAGTCACGGCAATTTGGAGCTTTCAAATTCAAAACACAACTTTTTATTGTGGTTCCTATTAGTAATGACTGGTTTGAGGTTTTGGTTTTTGTTTCTGTTTTTTTTTTTTTTTTTTTTTTTCCTGTCCACAGCACCTCAATAGATATAAATGTCTTTCCAGACCTCTGGTTGTCCATCAGTTTATAAACCTGCTCTGGTTAATTAATAATCGTTTCTTTGAGGTTAATAATCTCCTAGGACTACCAAATTAGATGTGATTTATGCCACATAACCTATATTTTAAATCATATTGAAATAAACATTGCCTTCAAATTTAGTGAAACTCAATGGATTAATCCTTTATTACCATTAAACAAATCACTCCAAAATTGATTGGCTTAGAACAAAAATAAACACTTATCATCTCACAGAATTTCAGTGGGTTGAGAGTTTGGGAACACCTTAGCTGAGTGGCTAAGGACTCTGGCTCAGGACTTGACTTGTCCTCAGTTTGCAGTGAAGATCCCAGTGGCCAAGGCTGCAGTCATCTCCAGGCTTGACTAGAGTGGGAGGAGCTGCTTTCATGGTGGCTATTTGCATAATTGACAAATTACTGCTGCCTTTTACAAAGAAGCCTCAGTTCCTTGCCACATGTGTTTTGCCATAAGGCTGCCCAAGTAGCCTCTAACATAACACCTGGCTTTCCCCAGAGCAGGTGATCCAAAAGAAAGTAAGACAGAAGCCACAGTACCTTTTCTAACTTTATCTTGGAAATCATACACCCTCACTTCTGGCACTAGAATACATGTTACTAGGTCCAGCTTACACACAAGAGAAGAGAAATTAGACTCCATCTTTTGAAAAGAAGAGTGTCAAAGAATCTGTGAACATATTTTAAAACCATCATATCCCTTGTAGGTAATTATTTAATACTATTGCTGTTCACCAATATGTTCAGTGGGGAGCCACTTCTGGGCACTCCCCTCATGTTTGGGTAGGACCATGTGACCAGAACTGGCCAAGAGTTGTGAGTGGACTATTCAATAACTATTTCTAGAAAATTGGCTCTCCATATGGAAAAAGACAAAAAGATATTATTTTATGTCCATTGAAAAAATGCAAATGAGTTAAAGAAGAAAAATCAGTAATATGACATTTTTACAAGAAAACATGTAACATTTTATGCCCATGACAAAGGTAGGGATTTCCTAAAGAAGACACAAAAACCATAAACTATGATGAGATATCATTTCATCAAATTTGCCACAAATTAATAAATCTGAGAGCACAAACTCTTAACCAATTAGCTATTGCTGGTGTGACTGTAAATTTGTACAACCATTATGAAGAGTAATAGAACAAAATCCAGTAAAATCTAAAATGTGAATAGTCTCTGAGTAAGAAATTCCACGTCTGGGCTCATGTTCTTTAACTTGGAGAAGCACAAGGGATGTGTACACAAGGATACACATGCAAGGATGTTCACTGAAGCACTATTTAAAGTAACGAGAACCTGGAAATAACTTTACCATCTCTCAAATGTCATTCATACAATGGAATACTATACAGCAATTAAAATAAATAAGCTACATCTGCATTTACCAACATGGATAGTTCTCAAAAATCAATAATGAGTGAAAAGGCAAATTGCAAGCTGGCACTCATATGATTCCATTTATGTGAATTTTAAAATATGTGAAACAAAACCATATAGCATTATTGAATAAATACGTTTGTAGGAGGGGTATTTTTTAACTTGCATGCATTTCAAAGTTGAGATAACTTCTCCTGAAAAAAATAGGCGAAAGAATTGGGAGTTGGAAGAAGGGTGGTTTGTCGTATCAGGAATATTTGTTTCTATTTTTTAAAAAGAGATCTGAATTAGGTATAACAAAATGTTACCATCTGCTTACTACTGATGATGAATGTTATTGTTATCTTCTACAATTTTCAGTGTCTTTGGAGAATTTCATAGTTAGACACTACAACTTTAAGAAAACCACTGAATTAGATTATCTCAATTTTTTTTATATTAAAATTTACAGTTCTAATGAGGGGAGGGATAATCCCTAAATCATGGTGGGTGATTTGCAAGATTTTGAGCTTTTTAAATTAACCTGCATTAGCAGCTCCTCTGAGATGAACTCTGTATATGACATGCCAAAGTCACATATCCAGAGCAGGACTTGCTGATGACTATGGCCCAGAATGGTCTCAGGCCATCCAAAGTTCTTTCTGTTTATGACAGAAAAGAGAGTCCCATTATCTCTATTCTGGAAAATATCACTCAAATCATTTGTCAGTGTTCCCTTCAAAAATCCAAAGTGGTTTGCACTCCTCTGAGTGTTTTTATGGGTCAAACTAGATATAATAAAAAGTATTTGTTTTGTTTCAAAGGAGATAAGTTCAAGCTATTCAATTCCCTCTTTCCCACAAAACCAATCCAATCACATTTAAATTTATTAGGAATGAGAAACACACACATATCTCCATCATCCCCTGATTTCCCAAAGAAGGCTTTGGAGAGAGTGGAAAACATGGGAATGATACTTTGATTATCATTGTTATTTCCTGGATACAGCTGGATTACAAGAAGCTGTGAAGTGGTTTTAGTTTTTAAAAAAATCCAACAGTTCTAGTTTTGCTGACAAGATAAAGGTCCAACTTCCTCTCATAGGGAAGACTTAATCTTGTTATATTTCTAACCACATTTTGGGTGGGACAGCACTAAATAGAACAGATAAGCATCAAATCTTCCAGATGCTTACCCTGAATAAATCTCCAAACTTTGAAGGGACTGTCTGAGAGCTAATCTTTTCAGTTTTAAACTTGAGTCAGCCAATGATGAACAATAAAATGGAAAGTTGATCCATTTCTCACTTATTTTTCCTACATGATAATATAATACCAACAGCAACACTCATTTAAGCTACAATGTTTCTGTATTGGGTATGCTTCTGTATGTGTGAATGAGTTGTGTATATGTGGGTGTGAGTGTGTGTACCTTTGTCCAAAAAGACCTTCACCATCCAAGAGCACAGGATTGCTCTCTCTCAGAAGCAGAGATTTGTACATCTCTACAGTATGGACTGCATTTTGGATGTGGGCCAAATAACCAGGGAAGAAATTACTAAATTATGCTACTTGTAAATTGTCCATTCTAATGGGCCCAAACATCATGATTATTTTTATAAATCACTCTATTCTGTTTGCCTGCCATTTATTGATTCAATAACAAATCAATACTTACTGAGTACCTACCACAAACGTATTCTATACCAGGCATTTCACAGTGATGCCTATAGAATTATAAAACTTGTCATTTCTTGTTTTTAGTGTCAATGAATCTTCAGGAAAATTAAGTCACAGAATTCTTAGTGAAACATATGATTTCAAGTTATAAAACCAGAAAATCTGATCCTTAGTAATACTGGTGGTGACTCTCCATCACTGTAGTCAATGTCCTGCCAGTAACTCAGCAAAATTAGACAGAGTGTGACAACAAGAGGAAATCAAAATGATTTGTAAAGTGAGAATGCGTCACATTTTCAGGGAAAACCACACAGTATTCTGAAATGAAAGCCATTAGAGGGAAAATGCATTTCATTAGCCTGGTCTTCTAAGGACAGTTAGGTTATAAAAGCAGTTTGTCTTCTTTTAATCCTTTCCCTCCACCCTCTGCCATATATCCTTATGTTGTCATGAGTGTTCCATCATTGCCTCAGTTTTTTTTTTTTTTTTTTTTTTTTTTTTTTTTTGACAGGGTCTCACTCTGTCACCCATGCTGGAGTGCAGTGGAGCAATCATGGCTCACTACAGTCCCGACCTCCCAAGCTCAGGTGATCCTCCCACCTCAGCTTCTCAAAGTGGTAGAATTACAGGGATGAGTGCCTTGGAATATTTTCATGAGAGGAGAGAAAAAGGAAACCCAAAACAATTTGCAGAGTATCATTAGACACAATGGATTATATTTGACCCTTTGCTTCTTTTACCTGGGAAATTTCAACAGAAACTCAAACATCCACTTACCTCACAGACTTTTGTTAAATCATTACAACTTCAAGGAATGTGTTTCTTGAGTCTGAGATCCATTTGGGTTGAATCCATATACAGCACTTATGTGATGGGATTGGTTCTCAGACTGTATCCTCTCTTATGACACAAACAGTGGAGGGTTAAAATTTTATGTGTGTATCTGTGTGGATATGCATGCATGTGTGTGTATTTATGTAGTCATGCATGTAGAGAAAGACACATAGAAAAAGAGAGAAACAGCAATAGGAAAACGAGACAAGAGGAAAAGTAATTTGAACAAAAATAAAACAACAAAAATTTCTTACAAATTAGTATGTTTTAGTTCATGTTTATGGTAGAAACTGTGAAGTGAAAAGAGAATGAAAGAGCTGGAAATGATCTTTTTTGAATAAATGAACTGAACTGAAAAAGAACTGATAGTGCTCCCTAACCATGGAAATAATTGTAATGCTTTCAATAAAAGTTGTGATTATATAAATAAAGAGGTCTAGGAGATAATCTTTACAAATGGTCTGAAAGGACAATGCCACCAATGTTTTGGAGGGTCTCAGTATGTTCTCCTCTCATGGTTCAAGGCAGTTTAAGATTATTTTCAGAGATACCTGAAGCCATAGAACTGCTATTTTTTTACCCTCATATTAAAACAATAAATAAAGAACACCCTGAATCTGCAAATTAGATGGGCACACATGTCCTCGTGGGAAAATGATATAGAATGGCTGATACTGTAACACAGTTTGGTAATTTGATTAGTTTTCAAGCTTGAGAATGCACTTCCATTCAGGTTAAAAAGCAAGCTGCCAAGTGGGGTATACAAGCAGGCTGGCCTGGTTTTATTAACAGAAACTGTTATGTTTTAGATGACAGGGAAAATATTTTGTATATTATGCATGTGTATGTTTATTTTCATGTACATGGAAAATATCTAAATAATATGCACTATATCCTTTTAGTGATGTTGCAGTGAGGATCTTTGGGAGTCAAATGGTGATCTTTTAATTTTGTTTTTGCTTATTTTTATTTTCTAACTTCTGCAACACATATGTTTTGTTCTGTAGAAATAAAATGCTATTAAAAATAAAAATAAAATAGCAAAATCATAAAAGATAAATAAGAAAAAAAGTGGTGTACACTCTCAAAGAAAGGAAAGACAACATAAGAAAGTTATATGAATAAAATAGTTTAACCTTAAATGTGACAGACACTCATGTGTGTTGAGGAGAAAAATAGAATTAAAAAATCCTACAAAATTAAAAAATCCTATAAAAATCCTACAAAAGAAATAATTGGAGAAGCCATTTTTATATAAGTGATAGTAAACACTGAATTATTTTGAAAACATATAATGTAGACTAAATTACAGATACAGAGTATAATAATACCAGTGTATGAAGTACAATAAAAAGTTATACTTTAACAAAATTTAGGAAGTGAACTCTGGAAGATAGGAGTAAAAAGAGTGAGATTTTCTCATCTGTCATAAGGGAGAGCCAATAGCTTCTATCTAAAGATGATCAAATATAGGAACTTGTGGATATTTAAATGTTTGACTATATCCCAGGAAAAGCATAATCATGAAAATATGGAGAAGCAAAGAAGGGTTGATAATACACCAAAATTACTGTAGAAAATCAAGATACTTATAACAGTAGTAATCATAAGTTTTGGAATAGAGCTGAAGCAATAGTTGGTGGGAATTTATTGCATGTTATTTAAAAAAATTAAAAGTAAGTGAAGAAAATAGAAAAAAGTAAATGCAGAGCAAAGAATATCCTATGAAAAGTATTTTTAAAAGAAATAAAAGTAAAATTTATTTCTATAAAATAAATTAGGAATAATGAATAGGGGAATAATAATTAGCAAAAAAATGTTGAAAGCTCTCAATATAAATTTGAAATATCTGGATGAGGTCATAATGCTTTAAAAAAATAACTAAAATTAGCCCCAGAAAGATAAAATTGTACGATTACACTTAAGCATCTGGTCAAGCTCTGATAAGAATCTGATAAGAACTTACCCTCTAATGAAAAAAGTCCAGAATTGTTTTTAAAAATATAAAAGTTGAATATATCTGCAGGTAGGATAGATCATTTCAGTGTTAATTTATATTGTTCCAGAACTGAACAAGGGAAAGAAAGCCTCCAAGTCTTTTTTAAAGCAGTATAATATTGACACCCAAACTTGACAAACATAGCCCACAAGAAAGAATACAGACCCATCTCATTTATAATGAATAACAATGAAAACATTCTAAATAAAATGTAGCTAACCCATTTCAGTAGCACATTTAAAGATCAATACATCATAAACAAATAAGTAGGGTTTGTTCAGAAATAGAAGCATGATCTATGGAAATCAATAATAGAATATCATTAATATAATTCACTATAACAATAAGTAAAGGCAGAAAGTTTTCATTTCTGTAGATTAAAAAGTATCATTTAGGTAGCAAAATTTTAAAAATCCTGACTAAATCTGGAAAATACCCTCTATTGGTATACATTTAATAAAGGTAATTTACTAAAAGTTGTTGATGGTTAAACATCAACAACTTATTTATTAAAGTCAAGAACAAGATTTTTTTAAAGCTTTAATCTACACTATTCAGGAAGTGCCGATCAATCCAATTATCTAAGAGAAAAAAATAAAGGTTTTAGAGGAAAAGAGTTAGCAAAATTATCTACAGATGATACAATTGTATGCTTGTGAATCTTTAAAATCCTAGGGAATCAGAAAAAAAAAAGAAACCACAAAATAATTCACTCATCTAACTGCTACAAAATTTGTATACTAAAACTCCAGTAGCTTTCCTATATAAAAACTATAACCAATTCAAAAATAGTATAAGGAAAGATCCTATATACCAATACCAACACTCACGTGCACACAAATACATACATACAACCAAGTAACAAACAAGAAGTGGTGGGGAAAACAACATCACAATTTTCTTAGGGACGTGAAAAATATAAATAAATGGATATATATATATACATATATATATATACACCTTATTATTTGTTAAGAATACTCAATAGTAAATATTTCCATTTCCCATAAATTAATCTAAATATTTAGTGAAATATCATTTAGAATAACAACTTTTTGTAAAGAGACCAACTATTTTTACAGTTTAACTGAAAAAAAAGTAAATATGTGATGATAATACCCAGAACATTCTGAAAATGAATAGAAATGTGTATAGAGGCAGGTAGGAGAGTGTAGAGAAGCCAAGGTGTCCAGACTGTGGAATGGTTACAAAGAGTTCAAAAATACATATAAGCAGATATGAGAATTAGTACAGTAGTCCTCCCTTATCTAAGGGGGATACGTTCCAAGACCTCAGTAGATGCCTGAAACCTTGGATAGCACTAAACCTTATAAATACAGTACTATGTTTTTTCGCACATATCTATGATAAAGTTTAATTTTTGAATTAGGCAAGTAAGAGATTAACAACAACAACAATAATAATAAAGAACAATTATACAATATACCAGCATCACTACTCTTGCACTTTGGGGCCATTACGAAGAAACGTAAGGGTTACTTGAATAGAAACACCGTGATACTTGTGGAGTCTTAATTGAGGAGAGGGAGTCAAGTTGGTGGAACTGAGGGAAAGCAAAAAGAGAAAGCAGATAAGCTCTAAGTCTGCCTTTCTTCTTGGTCCAGGATATGTAGCCCTCCTGTGCAAATAACACAATCTTCCTGTACCCAGCTATCACCAGATCCTCAGCTGACTAAAATTTAAAAAAAGTTAGTTAGGATACTGCAATTTTGGCATTATTAGAACTGCACAAAGCCCTCCTCAGCACACAGCATAAGCACCATCCTATAAAATTCCCAGGAAGCCTTTGTCTCTTTGCAGTTAGCTCCTCTCTTGCTAACCTGTCTGTAACCACTCTTGCAACATATTTCCATACTTTCTCTATTAAATCTGCCTTTCTTTACCTACAGCTGTCTTGTAAATTATTCTTACCGCCACACCACTGGCCTCAAATAGTTGCTGATCACCCATGACAACACTGATGCAGACAAACCCCCAAATTGGTGCTCAATCCAGAGGGTTCTTGGCTTCATTCAGGAAATAATTCAAGAGACAGCAGTGAAAGAAAGCAAGTTTATTAAAGATTACAACAACAGTGTACAGCAAAATGGCTGTCCATAGACAGAGCGGGGCTCTCCCATAGGCAGAATTGCCCAGAGTAGCAGTGTACAGCAAAGTGGCTGCTCTATAGGCAGAGCAGGCCAGAGCAGTAGCAGCAGTCCCAAAAAGGAGGAGGAGGAGAAGGAGGAGCAGCATCAGCGTACAGCAACAGTAGCAGTGCAGAGTAGCAGTTCCTGTAGATTGGTAGCTAGCTATGTTTATACCCACTCTTAGCTGTATACTAATTAAGGAGTGAATTATTCAGAATTTTCTAGAAAATGGGTGAGGGAGTTCCAAAACCATATAAAATAACTGCTGGGTTGTTGTCATGGCATTTGTAAACTGTCATGGTGCTGGTGGGAGTGTCTTTATGCTAATGAGCAGTGAGAGCAACTAGAGATCACTTTTGTCACCATGTGGTGGTTTCCACCGGTTTCTTCACTGCATCCTGTTTTGATCATCAGGCTCGTGATTGGTGCTGGGAAAATAAGTCCCGTTCATCTCCTACCTGAATACTGCTGCAGTCAATCTGATAACCAAGAGGGCCACTGAGTGACTAAAGGGCAGGTAGACAGCCTGGATACGCTGGACAAAGGGAGGATTCTTGTCCAGTGTGGACAATGCAAGGCAGTGTGAGATTTTATCACACTATTCAGAACAGCATGCAACTAAAACATTATTTCCAGAAATTTCTATTTAATATTATCAAACCATGATTGACCTTGGGTAACTGAAAATGCAGAAAGCGAAACTACAGATAAGGGAGTATGGCCATATAAGCAAATGATGGAGAAAGGAAAGATATTTCAATACATTTTGATGAGACAACCAGTTAGCAATTTAAACTAAAAGTATAGCTGAATTATTCCCTCACTCTTTATACCAAAATAAATTCCAGCTGATTAATTTTGAAAGAAAAAAATGAAGCCATAACTGTAATAAAGAATATATCCCAATTTTTCAAAATTCTGAAGTTAAAGAACTTTTTTAAAATCAAAACTATAAAATCCACAACCCATAAATATATGTCGATAAATTAGTTCCTATGAAGATTTAAAACTTTTCTGTTGTTAGAACCAAATAGTATAAACAAGGACAAAAGTTTTTTAAAAAGTGGGGGAGAGAATATTTGCAATATATTGAAAGATAAAATACTATTTTCCTTAAAATATAAAACTCTCAGGCTAGGAGAAGTGGCTCATGCCTATAATCCCAACACTTCAGAAGGCTGAGGTTGGAGGATCACTTGAAGCCAGGAGTTCACGATCAGCCCTAACAACAAAGTGAGACCCCCATCTCTACAAAAAACAAAAATGACACAAAGCTTTATGTAGAAATTATATATGTGTATACGTTTTATATATATGCACATATATAAAACTTCTAGAAATCAATAAGAAAAATACCCCAAATCTTTTAGAAATATAATAGGCATTTCACAGAAAAATAAACACATATGGCTTATAAGCAGATGGAAGGATGCCCAATTCTTCTCATAAATAAATGCAAATTAAGGCAAAATAAAGATAGTATTTTTTAGCTGCCAAATTGGCAATAGTTTGATAGTATACAGCCTTGGCAAGTTCGTGAGGAAACAGGAATTATCACACACAGACAGTGAATGTACACATTATCACAACTTCTTTGGAAGGGAATTTGACAGTAACCATAAAAACTAAAAATGTGGATATCCTCCAACACAGAAATTTGATTTTGAGGAATGTATCCCATCGATACTCACATGAGTGCAACTGCAATGTACAAAAATGTTTTAAAGCATAGTTATATACATAAACAAACATTGGGAGCAACCTAAGTATAATCATAATTAGACTGTTAAGTGCATGAGACTCTATTTTCTGGGTGGTTTCACCACTTACTAGTTTTGAAACCCTGAACAAGCTTCCTCAGCACTCTTGCCCCAGGTTCCTCATCTGTAAAGCTGTGCCAAAAGAAATACTGTACATGTTTCATTGGATAGTTAAGAGTAAATGAGTGAACACATAAGTCAAAAGGCAAAAAATACACTTTAGCTTAAAGATCTTAACTTGGCTTTATTTGCAAGTCCAGAATCCAGCAACAATTCATTCTATAAAGTATAATATGTGTTCCAATGAGCTGAGTAGAATAAGTTGGCTTTATAGACAGAGAGCTGAAGAAAGCAGAAACAAAGAACAAAAAGCAGACATGTTATTTCAAAGTTACTTTCCTTGTAAGGTGCAAACAGGGAAATAAAACAATAGAAAAATGACCCATTAGTTAACTTCAGGTAATCCCAGGTTACTTTTTGTTGTAAGGATTAAAGGCAGAGGGAATTTCATTGCCATGCAGATTAAAACTAACCTATTTGGGAAATTTGGTTATCTCTCTCTCCTGATTTCTGGAAAGGACACATAACAACTCAGTTTCCATGTGGTGAGTAGAACCTCAGCATGACGGACTCCATTCTGGTTTTTAGTCTGATCTCTTGGGGTCTAGTGCAGGAGCTCAGTCCAAAATAAGGACCTCCTGTAATTTTTATTTAACACATATAAAGTGCTTATGACACAATATGTGTCTCATTTATATGTGTATATGTGTATATAAATTACATACATATACACATGTATATATGTATACATATGTAAAAGTATCTACACTAGTGTAATATTAAAAAATTATGTTAAAACAGTAAAAATTCATTCTTAATATGGAAGTATCTCTGAGATATATTGTTACATTCAAACAATAAGCCAAATAACAGAGTGGGTTGTGCTCTCATGTATGTTCAAAAAGATATGTATTCACATAAAGCTCCAAAATGATCCATGGGCAACTAAAGGTAATACACCTTTCCTACAAGATACATATGAAACTGCTTGACAGTTGTTGCCCATGTAGAAAGGGTCTGATATGATTTGACTGTGTTCCCACCCAAATCTCATCTTGAATTATAAGGCCCACCATTCCCATATGTTATGGGAGGAACCCGGTGGGAGGTAATTGAATCATGGGAAGGAATCTTTCCCATGCTGTTCTCATCATAGTGAATAAGTCTCTTGAGATCTGATAGTTTTAAATATGGGAGTTTCCCTGCACAATCTCTCTCTCTCTCTCTGCCTGCTGCCATCCATGTGAGATGTGACTTGTTTCTCCTTGCCTTGTGCCATGATTGTGAGGCCTCCCCAGCCACATGGAGCTGTAAGTTCATTAAACCTCTTCTTTTGTAAATTGCCCAGTCTCAGGTATGTCTTTATCAGCAGTGTGAAAATGGATTAATACAATAAATTGGTACCAGGAGTGGGGTGCTACTGAAAAGATACCCTAAAATGTGGAAGCGACTTTGGAACTGGGTAACAAGCAGAGGTTGGAACAGTTTGGAGGGCTCAGGAAAAAAAAAAGATAATGTGAGAAAGTCTGGAACTTTCTAGAGATTTTTTGAATACCTTTAACCAAAATGCCGATAATGATAAAGACAATGAAATCCAGGCTGAGGTGGTCTCAGATGGAGATGAGAGACTTGTTGGGAACTGCAGCAAAGGTGAATCTTATTATGCTTTAGCAGAGAGACTGGCAGCATTTTGCCCCTGCCCTCAGGATTTGTGGAACTTTGAACTTGAGAGTGATGATTTAGTGTATCTGGTGGAAGAAATTTCTAAGCAGCAAAGCATTCAAGAAGTGACTTGAGTGCTGTTAAAGGCATTCAGTTTTAAAAGGGAAACAGAGCATAAAAGTTCAGAAAATTTGCATCCTGACAATATGATAGAAAAGAAAAACCCATTTTCTGACGAGAAATTCAAGCCTGCTGCAGAAATTTGCGTAATGAGAAGCTGAATGTTAATTCCCAAGACAATGGGAAAAATGTCTCCAGGGCACGTTGGAGGTCTTCACAGCAGCCCTTCCCATCACAGCCCCAGAGACCTAAAAGGAAAAAATGGTTTCATGGGCCAGGCACTGTGCCCCCTTGCTGTGTGCAGCCCAGGGACTTGGTGCCCTGCATCCCAGCTACTCCAGCCATGGCTAAAAGGGGCCAGGTACAACTTGGGCTGGCAACTGCTTCAGAGGGGGCTTGCACCAGAGGCAGCTTCCACATGGTTTTGAGTCTGTGGGTGTGTGGAAGTCAAGAATTGAGGTTTGGGAACCTCCACCTAGATTTCAGAGGATGTATGGAAATGCCTGGATGCCCAGGCAGAAGTTTGGTGCAGGGGCAGGGCCCTCGTGAATAACCTCTGCTAAGATAGTGCAAAAGGGAAATGTGGGGTTGGAGCCACCACACAGAGTCTCTACTGGGGCATAACCTAGTGGAGCTGTGAGAAAAGGGCCACCATCCTCCAGATCCCAGAATGGTAGAACTCACCAACAGCTTGCACCATGCTCCTGGAAAAGCTGCAGACACTCAATGCCAGCCCAAGAAAGCAGCCAGAAGGGAGGCTGTACCCTGCAAAGGCACAGGGCCAGAGCTGCCCAAGACCATGGAAACCCACCTCTTGCATCAGTGTGACGCAGATGTGAGACACAGAGTCAAAGGTGATCATTTTGGAGCTTTAAAATTTGACTGCTCTGCTGGATTTCAGACTTGCATGGGGCCTGTAGTCCCTTTGTTTTTGCCAATTTCTCCCATTTGGAATGGCTGTATTTACCTAGTGCCTGTAACCCCATTGTATCTAGGAAGTAACTAACTTTCTTTTGATTTTACAGGCTCATGAGCAGAAAGACTTACCTTGTCTCAGATGAGACTTTGGACTGTGGACTTTTGAGTTAATACTGAAATGAGTTAAGCCTTTGGGGGACTGTTGGGAAGGCATGACTGGTTTTGAAATGTGAGGACATGCGATTTTGGAGGGGCCAGGGGTTGAATGATATGGTTTGGCTGTGTCCCCACCTAAACCTCATCTTGAACTGTAACTCCCACAATTCCCAGGTGTCATTGGAGGAACCTGGTGGGAGGTAATTGAATCATGGGAGCAAGTCTTTTCCATGCTGTTCTCATGACAGTGAATAAGTCTCAAGAGATCTGATGATTTTAAAAATGGGAGTTTCCCTGCACAATCTCTCACTCTCTGCCTACTGCCATCTATGTAAGATGTGACTTGTTCCTCCTTGCCTTCACCATGATTGTGAGGTCTCCCCAACCCCATGGAACTATAAGTTTATTAAACCTCTTTCTTTTGTAAATTGCCCAGTCACTGATATGTCTTTATCAGCAGCGTGAAAATGGACTAATACAGGGTCCAAGATCAGAAGTCAAAGATATTTTAGTGTATATTTTTATGTGGCTTGATATTCTTACCTTGGGGATACATTAATTTTTAAAATTACAAATCTAGGTAGTTTTTTAAAAGAAATTGAATCAAGCAGCTAACTAAGGAGACCCTCACATTAAATTATGGTTCTCAGCTTCATCCAGGAATAATGTCCCAGTCCACAACTTCCCTCTTCTATCTCTTCTATAGGATGACCCTTCTGATTACATTACCCATCATTAATCCAGAAAACAGAGCAAAGGTGACATAAAAACACCTTTGTGACTGGGCACATTGGCTCACACCTGTAATCCCAGTGCTTTGGAAAACTGAGGTGGGAGGATCACTTAAGACCAAGAGTTCAAGACCAGCCTGGGCAGCATAGTGAGATCGCATCTCTATAAAAATAATAATATAAAAAGGAAAAAAGAAAACACCTTTGTGTTTTGCAGTGACAATTTTAGGAGCAGCTGAGATTCCTCAGCAAGGGCAAATACGAAAATAGAAAGCAGTGATTCTCAACATAGGTCCTCAGCCACACTCAAGCAATCATATTGTTGGCTCAACAATGTGATTCCTATAATCCATCCCATGATCCAATGGGCAAATGACTTGTCTCTCATTAGTCCCTCATTTTTACATACAATTAAAGGTCTATTTAGCAGGAAATTTTATGTAAGCTATTTAAAAGTTGAAACCATTTAAAATATATTAATATTCTACATTTTGTTATCAGGCAGTTCTTTTCAACAGAAAAATGAGTAGGATAGGCAGTCTATAGCATCTGCGTTTCCTATTGTTGTGTAACAAATTGCCACACACTTATAACAATACACAGTTATAATCTCACTGTTGTCTTGGGCCAGGATTCTGGTGTAGCTTAACTGGGTCCTTGTCTCAGGACATCACAAGTCTGCAATCAAGGTATCAGCTGGGCTGTGTTCTTACCTGGAGTTAGAGTTCCTTTTCCAAGCTCATTCAGTTTGGAAAATGTATTTCTGTAACTGCCTAGTGGGTTCACCTGGCCCACTGTCTAGACAGAGCCAATTCATCAAGACAGGGGAATTGCAATAGAGAAAGATTAATTTACACAAACCCAGCTGTGTAGGAGACTAGAGTTTTATTATTACTCAAATCAGTCTCCCTGAGCATTCAGGGATCAGAATTTTTAAGGACAACTTGGTGGGTGGGGGGAAGTCAGTGAGCTGGTGGTGCTGATAGGTCAGGTCAGAGATGGAATCATAAGGAGTCAAAGCTGCCTTCTTGTGCTGAGTCAGTTTCTGGATGGGGCCCACAAGATCAGGTGAGCCAGTTTATCAATCTGGGTGGTACCAGTTGATCCATCAAGTGCAGGATCTGCAAAATAACTCAAGAACTGATCTTAGGAACAGTTGAGGGAAGGTCAGAATGTTATGGCCTCCAGTTGCCTGACTCCTAAATCGAAATTTCTAACTTTTTTTTTTTAAGAATTAAATGGATGTGTTTATTTATTTATTATTTATTATTATTATTATACTTTAAGTTTTAGGGTACCTGTGCACAATGTGCAGGTTAGTTACATATGTATACACGTGCCATGCTGGTGTGCTGCACCCATCAACTTGTCATTTAGCATTAGGTATATCTCCCAATGCTATCCCTCCCCCCTCCCCCAACCCCACAACAGTCCCCAGAGTGTGATGTTCCCCTTCCTGTTTCCATGTGTTCTCATTGTTCAATTCCCACCTATGAGTGAGAATATGCGGTGTTTGGTTTTTTGTTCTTGCGATAGTTTACTGAGAATGATGATTTCCAATTTCATCCATGTCCCTACAAAGGACATGAACTCATCATTTTTTATGGCTGCATAGTATTCCATGGTGTATATGTGCCACATTTTCTTAATCCAGTCTATCACTGTTGGACATTTGGGTTGGTTCCAAGTCTTTGCTATTGTGAATAGTGCTGCAATAAACATACGTGTGCCTGTGTCTTTATAGCAGCATGATTTATAGTCCTTTGGGTATATACCCAGTAATGGGATGGCTGGGTCAAATGGTATTTCTAGTTCTAGATCCCTGAGGAATCACCACACTGACTTCCACAATGGTTGAACTAGTTTACAGTCCCACCAACAGTGTAAAAGTGTTCCTATTTCTCCTCATCCTCTCCAGCACTTGTTGTTTCCTGACTTTTTAATGATTGCCATTCTAACTGGTGTGAGATGGTATCTCATTGTGGTTTTGATTTGCATTTCTCTGATGGCCAGTGATGGTGAGCATTTTTTCATGTTTTTTTGGCTGCATAAATGTCTTCTTTTGAGAAGTGTCTGTTCATGTCCTTCACCCACTTTTTGATGGGGTTGTTTGTTTTTTTCTTGTAAATTTGTTTGAGTTCATTGTAGATTCTGGATATTAGCCCTTTGTCAGATGAGTAGGTTGTGAAAATTTTCTCCCATTTTGTAGGTTGCCTGTTCACTCTGATGGTAGTTTCTTTTGCTGTGCAGAAGCTCTTTAGTTTAATTAGATCCCATTTGTCAATTTTGTCTTTTGTTGCCATTGCTTTTGGTGTTTTGGACATGAAGTCCTTGCCCATGCCTATGTCCTGAATGGTATTGCCTATGTTTTCTTCTAGGGTTTTTATGGCTTTAGGTCTAACATTTAAGTCTTTAATCCATCTTGAATTAATTTTTGTATAAGGTGTAAGGAAGGGATCCAGTTTCAGCTTTCTACATATGGCTAGCCAGTTTTCCCAGCACCATTTATTAAATAGGGAATCCTTTCCCCATTGCTTGTTTTTCTCAGGTTTGTCAAAGATTAGATAGTTGTAGATATGCGGCGTTATTTCTGAGGGCTCTGTTCTGTTCCATTGATATATATCTCTGTTTTGGTACCAGTACCATGCTGTTTTGGTTACTCTAGCCTTGTAGTATAGTTTGAAGTCAGGTAGCGTGATGCCTCCAGCTTTGTTCTTTTGGCTTAGGATTGATTTGGTGATGCGGGCTCTTTTTTGGTTCCGTATGAACTTTAAAGTAGTTTTTTCCAATTCTGTGAAGAAAGTCATTGGTAGCTTGATGGGAATGGCATTGAATCTATAAATTACCTTGGGCAGTATGGCCATTTTCATGATATTGATGGGATGTATCTCAAAATAATAAGAGCTATTTATGACAAACCCACAGCCAATATCATACTGAATGGGCAAAAATTGGAAGCATTCCCTTTGAAAACTGGCACAAGACAGGGATGTCCTCTCTCACCACTCCTATTCAACATAGTGTTGGAAGTTCTGGCCAGGGCAATTAGGCAGGAGAAGGAAATAAAGGGTATTCAATTAGGAAAAGAGGAAGTCAAATTGTCCCTGTTTGCAGATGACATGATTGTATATCTAGAAAACCCCATTGTCTCAGCCCAAAATCTCCTTAAGCTGATAAGCAACTTCAGCAAAGTCTCAGGATACAAAATCAATGTACAAAAATCACAAGCATTCTTATACACCAATAACAGACAAACAGAGAGCCAAATCATGAGTGAACTCCCATTCACAATTGCTTCAAAGAGAATAAAATACCTAGGAATCCAACTTAGAAGGGACGTGAAGGACCTCTTCAAGGAGAACTACAAACCACTGCTCAATGAAATAAAAGAGGACACAAACAAATGGAAGAACATTCCATGCTCATGGATAGCAAAATTTCTAAACTCGTGGCTAGTTTGTTAGTCCTGTGAAGGCAGGTTAGTCCCCAGGCAAGGAAGTTTGTTTTGAGAAAGGGCTGTTATTATCTTTGTTTTAAACTATAAACTAAGTTCCTCTCAAAGTTTATTTAGCCTATTCCCAGAAATAAACAAGGACAGCTTGGAGGTTAGAAGCAAGATGGAGTTGGTTAAGTCAGATCTGTTTCACTGTCTCAGTGACAATTTTGCAATGGTGGTTTCATTTCCTTGTGGTTGTATATTGAGGGCCCCATTATCTTGCTAGCAACTGGCTGTAGGCTATTCTCAGCTCCTAGGGGCACCCTCAGATCCCTGTCACATGCCCCCTCCAGTGGCCATCTCACAGTATTCTGCCTATGTCTTGCAGGCCACCAGAACATCTCACTTTTATCTGCTAAGAAGGAGTCTTATGGAACATGACATAATCACAAGAGTAAGGTCCCATCACGTTTGCCACATAATATAACCTAAGCACGGAAGTGACATCCCATTCCTTTGCCATATTGTATTGGCTAGAAACAATGACAGGTCCATTCCACATTCAAGGGAAAGAAGATATACAAGGATATGTCTCATTGGAATCACTGTAGAGTGTCTGCCACAGTATCCCATCTGGCAGATGCCAGGAATTTTTGAGAATTATTGCCCATTGAAAAAGCTTTAAGGGATAATATAAAATAATTCAGTGTGATGTACTTACAAGTGATGGCAGCATCAACATTTGGCAGAGACTGCAGTGTGATGATATTGGTTGACATGCTACTTGGTAGTTAAGGATCAGTAAGTTAAAATATTTTTGTGGATGAGAAACACTTGGATGGCCATGTAATGAGTTCCATAAACTTTTGATTTTTGCCTTCTCACCTATACCAGAGGAACAGTTTTAAGCAAACACACACAAAAAGGCCATGATTCCAGAAATTATCTATTTTCTGGGGCAACTCAAACTTGACATTTGGATATAATCCCTCAGAGAAATTCTTGTTTTTGTTTTTTTAAATGTTATTTCTTCAAATTTTGACATTCAAAAAATGGCAGCCACCTGTTCTGAAGTAGGTCAGGGAGATGCTATCCAGGGTCATAGGTCCTTATAGGGTTATCCAGGGTCATAGGTCTCCTTATCTCTTCCTTATTTCCTTCACAGTCACCCAGAGATATCCTTCTTTTCCAATCACTGCATTTATTTGAGATAAATTAGAATTATTGAGTTCAACTGAGCTCTGGAGTACCTGATGAGTCATCTTCCCAGTAAAAGTATCAGATTTTACATAGAACATAGTAAATAATATTAAATTAATCTTATTACCATGCTTTCTGTAGGAAATTATTATAGGCTGGTTAATCTGTATTTATTTATAGGCATAATTTAAATATTACATAGGTTACCCTCAGGAACTACAGAGACTAAAGTAAGCCAAACATTCTAAGTAAAGAGATAGAGGAATACACACAGATTTCCATGAATGAAAACACTTCCATAGTTGGCTTTTCTTTTTATTTATAGGAGACTGAACAAAGTAAAAGAGGAAAGGGATTTTTAAAGGCCCCAGAATATCTGTGGTCTGAAGATACATCTTATATAAATACCGATCGCTAGAACTATTCAATTATTCAGATCAATCACTTATACATTTAAAAAACAAGATTGCACTACTGAGAAATGAAATTGAAATTTGAGTGAAATGCTAAGATAAAGCAAAGACGTTAGCTGCACCAGGAGTATCTTAAAATCATTCTTAAATAGAACCTAAGCTCTAGAATTGCCTATTCCCGAGTCTTAGATGGATAAATGGAAGCACACTGCCTAAAAATGCCATTTTCAGTTAATTTTCTCCACAGATTCCTCCTCACACTAAGTTAAAATCTCAACTCTTCCCAGTTAGCCCTTTGACCCTGGGCAAGTTACTTAACTTCTCTGAGCCCCAATTTACATATCTATAAAATAGGGGTAATTATAAAACCTCTAAAGTTCTCCAAAGTTAAAGAGATATTGTATACTACTATTTTAATGCAATTCCTTGCACATACTTAGTGTTCATTAAATGATAGCTGTTATTAATAACACTATATAAAAAATGTTTCAGTGAGAATCTTGTAAAGACAAGTCTGTGCTATCTTTTTAACAAGGCACGCATAATTTTCTTTGTGATTTTTGGTGATGGGGGTTTTGAGTCTTGAAATACACAAAATAACATAATGCTGATCGGTGTGAACAGTGTTCTCCATGTGTTAAAATTATGCTGCTCCTCTTTAAACTCTACCTGCATTTTATGTAGTTGAAAAAATGTTACTTTTTGAAGTTTCTCTCATGACCACTGACATCTCTGAGTCAAACAAGAAAAACACATGCAGTCACTTTTTAGTACTGGAAAAAATTGTAAGCACTGCATTACCTGTTATTGTTCAAAGAGAGCAGTTTGATTTGCCATCTTCTTAATTGTATTTGGCATAGTTTGAGTTCTCCTCTAAAGCACGGTGTATCTCCAATTATTCCTTCTTGTACTCATGCACTTGTTCTCTTCTGCAGTCTCTCTCTCTCTCTCTCTCTCTCTCTCTCATTTTCTCTCTCTCTCATTCTCTCACTGAGTGGCAGCTCCATACACTCCCTCTCTCTCAGCCCCTGTGGATTTGATCATCACATTATTGAAATGCAATGTCCTTTGTTCACATCTAAGGTAGATATTAACATTTTTATTGAAAACCAAAGTAATTCACTTACTCTGTGAGTTTTCCACTGCTGTAAATGACAGAAGAGGCCCTCTCACCAAGTGCAGTCATTTCAGAAGCTTTATTACATTCAAGAAGGAAAAGGTCCAGGCTAAAATGAAGTTAACAGATTTGCTGAAGGGCATGTTTCTACACACCAGAGAGTGTTTCCCTTTCTAATACATTCCACTGCTGAACTCTGTAACCTCACTTTACAGAACTGCCTGTCATAAGGTGCTCAACACACTCTCAACTGCAAAACTCCAGATCTGAACTCTTTGCACTTTGGAGTGACAGTTTTTGGGAACCAAACCATTCCACACAAATTGCCTAGGGTAATGAATAATACTCTCCTTCTTTCACCTGGATATTTTTCTAAGCCTAGGAAAGGGCAGGCAAAACATGTACTGTGCTGAGTTCAACATCAAAATAAAAGGGCCAAACCACAGGGTATTTGCTGGCCTCTGGGAGCAAACAAATTCTATATGCATGACTCCTAAAAGACCCCTCTTAGAGACCTCCCTGCTCTATTGGTCTGAATTAAATAGTGGCAAAGATCCTCAGTACCACCACTACTTTTAAGGGACATTGGGCTTTTCTGAAATAGCCTCAGCTTCTAGAAGACCCTTAGATATTAGGCTTGTCTCAGAGAATTCCATTCAATATCAGCTAAGGTATCTTAAAAAACCTTTAGAAATCTTTTTCCTTTTCACTGGTCTAGTGAGAAAAGGATTGAACTGGAATTCACGAGAACTAAATTCTAATATTGCCAGATCCATGTCTAGCTTTGGACTTCTTCTCTTCTGAAACACAAGGTCATCAGTGGAGATACAATGGGTATAACAGTGCCCAACTAATCTAGTTCATCAAGTACTCATGAGGATCAAATAAGGTAATGTATAAGAAAGCTTCTGATAAAATGTAAATACTATGAGTCTAAATGAAATAGGGGAAGCCTCTCATGGCTGTATCATATTTCCCAATCCTCACTCCAAAACTATAAAGCCCTGGAAAGCAAAGAGACAGGTCCAGAGTCTCCTCTGCATCACCCACCAGGCATAACACATACCCTGGCAGCATGTGCAGAGGTTCTGAGCACCACCACTCAGAAAGGAGGAGCAGTGCCTGGCAAGGTTCTTGGCAGACACCTAACCAGGAGGTGCCTGACACCGGTGGTCCAGGAGAAACTTATGGAGAGAGAGGTGGCAAGGTCATGATCAGAATATTCTACTCTTTTCCTTATCTTTCCACTATTCCTGCAGACAATTTTATACCTCAATCCTTGACTTCAAAGTCACAAAGGTAAGCCTTTTCCATCTAATTTCTCTTAAATCTGGAAACCCAGACAGAATGAGTATACATTCAGCTTTTCCATAAGATAGTGAGATTACTCTTCAAATATGCACCATCTAGAAGACATGTGGGTTGCAGGAAAGAGAAGACTGGACTTTTCTTAAGGGACATTTACCAGGCATAAAGAGGATGTAGACTTCAATATCAGAGTTCACACTTCAGGGATTCTTAGGACAAGAATGAAACATAAGATAGAAGAGCCTTTGGATGGAAACTGCTTCCCTTGTAGCCCAAGGCAACTGTGGTTACTTTATGGGTTTGCTGGTAAAAAATCTTTCAGAAGAGCCCACATCTTCTCTTCAGATTCCTTTCATAAACAAAAGTGTAGATGCAATCACTGATGGAATGTTCTAACTTGGATAGTCACTAGAACCTCATAACCATTACGCGTAGAACTTTACTGTTTATCTATCTTGTCCCACACCTTCCTACCTCATCCTCACAAACCCAATTGAGTTCATTACCTCAATGAATGGAACCACCACATCCCAACTGCACAAATGAAAAAACATAAAATAAAATAAAAATAGGAGTCATCAACTTTTTCCTCAACCTCATGTTCCCAAATGCAGTCATCAGATTCTTATGATTTGACCTCCAAAATACATGTTAATTTCACATTCACTTCTCTTCAACTGCCATTTTAGTGAAGGCTGCAATCATTTCTGACTTTGTTTACTTGAATCTAAGTTGCCATTGTTTGTAAACTACATTATTATGCTTTGTATCACTGAGAAAGAAAATAAAAGCTTTCTGTTAATTTATGACATGCCACTAACGGTAAGATGAATCCAGATTTAGAGATAATAAAATGTGGGGGGAAAATTGTATGTCTTAAAATTAGTGAAATACAGTACTTGTCAACATCGTAACTGCTATCTCTGCATTTATTCATGTGGTCTTCCAGTTCACTCACATTACATCTAGAATGTTCTTTCTATAATAGGACACATTACTGTTTTTTGCTTAAGACACTTCAAATTATTCTCTATATACTCAGGATGAAATCGAAAACAAGCACAACATATAAGGCCCTGCTCGTTTCTCCAGCTCTTGACCCTCTGTTTTTCTTACTCTAAACTCCAGCCATGCATAGCTACTTCCAAGTTCTGAAAAGAAAGAAAAAAATAATGTTCTACTCAAACTTCAGATATTTGCACATACACTTCCCTCTGCTGCAATGATATTCTCAGCCCTCTTAACCCCTACCCAACCTTCAGGTCTCAGCTAGCTCAAATTGTCATTTCCTCCAGAAGCTCTCTCTATCTCCAGACCAGGTCTAGATGTCTCTTCTGTGTTCCCATAGTACTCTATGTTTAACACACTCTATGTTTAACATCACACTCCACAAAAATTCCCTTTCTGTTTGTCTCTCCCTTAACACTAGAGAGTCCTTGAGATAAGGGACGATGCTGTAACACTATCATATCCCAAGTGTCTCACATGGTGCCTGACAGCTAAATACTTGTTTAAGGTTGACAACACATGAGGAACCAATGAGAGTTTACCATCCAAACAAATACAATAAACCATAGGATTTTTCTTAAATGAATTCATAATTGTTCAATTATCTTCTACCTGTCAATTGCCAAATCTCTATAATAAATTTCTCATCAATGGGATAAATATGCTTTAAATTACAGTCATATTGTATTAGTCTGTTTTCACACTGCTCTAAAGAACTACCTGAGACTGGGTAATTTATTTTTTCTAAAAAAAGAGAGATTTAATTGACTCACAGTTCCACATGGCTGGAAAGGTCTCAGGAAACTTACAATCATGGCAGAAGGTGAAGCAAGGCATGTCTTACATGGCAGCAAGAGAGAGGGTAGGGGAACTGCCAAACACTTTTAAACCATCAGATCTCATGAGAGAACTCATTTACTATCATAAAAACTGCATGGGGGAAGCCACCTCCATGATCCAATCACTTCCCACCAGATCCCTCCCTCAACACATGGGGATTACAATTTGAGAAGAGATTTGGGTGAGACACAGAGCCACACCGTATCACAAATGCTCAGCTAGAGTTAGATGCTGCTATGTCTTTAGGGAAACTAACCTCATGTTATAGAGATAAACTGATACAAGTATGGAACAAGCTTGAAAATAAAACAATTAGAAAAAAAGCAATGCAAGATAAGTCAAAAAGTACCTAACTATGTGTGGCAGATTATATTCATTGTTGGCACTCAGATGAAAAAGAGACCACCAAAAACTGGAGCAGTCATAGGATTTATTGAGGATGTTCAACTTGAGCAATCTCTTGAAGGAGGGGTAGAATTTAAACTGGTCACATTTAGGAGGAACTACCTATGAGCTACCAGAAAGAGACCCAACTGTCATTTTATTCAGTGTTTACTGTTTTGGTTGATAAAATATCTCCTTCAGAGACATTAGAATCATAATCTTTGGGAAACGAATTAACTCAAGTAACTTAAAATCCATTCTTGGCTAAATTCTCAAGTAGATTTATTTTGCTGTCTTTTCATTCTATCATAGATGTCTTTAGTCCTGTTGCATTATGTTGTTATTTAGCTTAGAAAAAAATACAGATAAATCCTGAGGAAGTCTAAGAATACTTATTCTGAAAGTAGAGAATGTCAACAATGCTCAACAGAGTTGTACATGATGTCAGCATCTGCCTGTTTCAGCCACTGTAAGCAACCCATCAACTTCCCAGACAAAAAGTCACAGTGACCTGCAGTTGAAGAGGAGTCACTCTGCAGCACTTAGTCAAAATGACAAGCATGTCCCTGGTGACTTGATGTTTGAATGGTTGGCCATGGGATTGCTAGGGTGATGGCCTATGGGTCTAATTGGAACTACAATTGCCCCCAAAGGGCTTTTAAAGGCTGCTTCCATCTCTGTCTTCCCTCTTTCTGTGTAAAATATTTTTATTTTACCGATAACATTTCAGTTAAACTAATGATATAGAATTCTGCTCTAATATTACTTTGTCAAGTGTGTCACTCACTGGAAAATATTTTCAAGAAAGCCAAAATTGGAAGGTGACCCACCACTTCCCTCTGAGCCTGAGACAGAAATAGAAGTCAGGTAAAAGACCATGACCAGAAAGAAGTACCTGCAGGGATAATCAGCAGTTGTATAGGTGAGAAAAGGTATGAGGCTCCTCTTTCCTGTCATGATAGCTCAAATTGTTGCTTTGTGAATATCTCTCTCTCAGTTATGTCTTGTTTCTGCAAGCACCCATTTTTCACACAAATTCCATTTCTATAGTCTTTGCTATGAACCTCATTATTATCAGTAACTACAAATTCTTCAATATTTCAATTTCATGTATTTTGTTTTCTAACAACCCTATTTTCCACCTCATTCCCTCAAGAAACTCAGTTTCAACAACCTCATAATGCCATTTTGCAACCCATTTATTGACTCATTCACCTTTACCCTGTCCTTTTGACATCTTATCTTCTTCCCTTACTCAACTGAAATTCCATGGCCAATTATTATTATCACTTCTTTGCTTGCACTGCCTGAGAAATCTTTTTACATTTCTTTTCATAAAGGTCTGTTGAAGAAGTTCTTCAAATTCTTTTAGCTTTTGTTTGTCTGAAAATGCTTTTACTTTGGTTTTATTCAAAAAGGATATTGTTACTGGATACAGAATTCTAGGTAGAATGATTTTACTCTTAAAATGTAAAGATGTCATTGTGTCCCATGGCTTGCATTGTTTTTTATATGAAGTCTATAGTAATTTATTGTTTTTCTGTACTTATCGTGTGTTTTTTGTTTTGTTTTGTTTCTTTCTCTTCATCACTGATTTCCAGCAATTTGACTTTGATATGCTTGTCGTGGTTCTCTTTGTGTTTATCCTGCTGGTAGTTCATTGAGCATATAGGATCTGTCAATTTATAATTTTCATCAACTTTTGAAAATGTTAAGCCATTGTTCATTCAAATATCTTTATGTTTCTTTCTCTCTTCTCTCCTTCTGAGACTCCATTGACATACTTTAGACTTTTTGATAATGCGCCATAGGCCACTGAGGCTCTGTTCATTTTTTTCTAGGTGTTTTGCTGTCTGTGCCCTCCTTTGGATAATGTATACTACGATGTCATCAAGTTCACTGTTTTTTTTTTTTTCTGACATGTTCACCTACTTTAATGTCATTTATTGAATTTTTCATTTCTGACACTGTATTTTCAGCTCTAAAATTTTCATTTGGGTCTTTTTTCCATTTCTCTTTCATGAGGTTCATGCTTTCCTTCAAATCCTTGAGTCTATACCTTTCAACTTTTAATTTCACATTTCTGTTATTTCTGTATTCATTTGTGGTAGCTGATTTTTTTCTCTTGGTAATGGGTAACATTTTCTTTTTTCTTTGAACTTATGATTTTTAAAAATGATATGCTGGACAATCTGAATTTTTTGTTGTTGAGTTCCATGTGTTTTTTGTTTGTTTGTTTTCTTAAATAGTGCTGAACATTTTTCTATCAGGTAGATAAGTTACTTGAGAATCACCTTGATCATTTTGAGGTTTGTTTTTAAGCCTCAAAAACAAACCTGCCAGGGTTTGTCTAGTTTAGGGTAAGTCTGCTAGGATATGTACAGTTTAGACCTATTAACGCTAGGGTATGTCTAGTTTAGACATAGGGGTATGCTAGGGTATGTCTAGTTCTGCTAGCGTATGTCTGGTTTAGACCTATTACTGTGACACGATCCTTCTTGGGTCTCCATTGAATGTCCCAGGTGTTCAGTGAGGACTCTCTACTTTGCCTGTTTGGAACTCAAGTGTCTCCCAGCCTAGCATGAGCCAGGGGAACTGCTTTAGCTTAAAACTTCCCATTTGTTCTTTTTCCAACATCACTTGTGGCTTGGTATTCAGCAAAAAAATCAAAAGGACTGTTATGCAAATTTCGGGTGTTATTTCTCTATTTGTCCTATAAATTCTAGCTACTTCAGCCTCTCTCAACTCCAGTTTTTTCTTCTTAACTCAGTGCAACCACTGTATTCAGGCTGAGGCCCTTCCCTGTTCCTGTGGTCCAGAAATGCCTCCAGGCAGAAAGCCAAGGAAACTGTAGGGCTCACCTCATTTGTTTCCCTTCTCTAAAGGTTACAGTTCAACATTGCCTGATGTTCAGTATTTGAAAACAGGTGTTTCATATATTTGTTCCAGTTTTCTAGTTGTTTATGGTGAAGTCTGGTCCCACTTACTCTAACATGGGCATAAGCAAAAGTTTTGAGTGTGTTACTTCTTAGAGTGGGTGCCATAATTCAAAAGCTTCACGTCCTCTTCCCCAATAAAATGAATAAAATGCTCCAGAGGAAACAGGAAGAAGTTGGAATGAAACAAATCTGACCTTGAATCTTGGCACCACTACCTACTCCCTGTGTGGTTTTAAAGAAGACTCAACTTCTTTGTGTTTCTGCTTTCTGTTCTGTATAATAGTGGTAACAGTAACTATCACAATGGGGGTAGATATAAGGTTTAAATAAAATGATACATATGGAGAGCTTGGCAAAGTCTTTTGTATCTAAATGTAAAATAAGAAATATGTAACCTGAAATCAAAGAGCCCTCCCCTTTTTGGTCTTAAATTTGTCATAATTAGGAGGTCAGCAGCCTTGTCAAAGAATAAGGCAAAACAAGAAAATAAATAAGATTGTTTTCTCACTGCTGGGAAAATCAATGTGTCTCGTGCTGTCTTCTCCAGGCCAAGACTGGCAGAATCCCGCCATCTGTGTGGTCTTTCAATCTCCATATGATGAGGAAAAGACAGTCAGGGGCAACCCCACCTGGGCTGAAATGTAAAGGAGAGAAAGGGAGGAAGAGTGTGTTTATACCTACTTTTCCCCCTTAACTCAGCTTCCTCTTTCTTTTACTTATGCTTCTGCCTCCTCTCTGCCTCTGCCTCTTCCTGGGATGCCTGGTTGTTCAATCTAGCTTACTAGAAAGGAGAAAAGGAAAGAGGTAGTCAGCTGTGCGAAGCTTGTCTTCCCTCATCTGGTAAAGTAATTAATTACCTTGTTAGTAGCATGCTATCTGGTCTAAGGCAAGACTCTGTGCTCAGGTGACAAAAGCCACACTTGCTGATGTCTCAATTTTACTCTTTGGAAAGGTATTTCATACATTATTTACTTATTAAAGCAAATAATAATATGGATCCTGGAATATAATTAAAAATTTAAATATATTTTACAACGTTCTGTTTTAGGGAAAGTGCTCTAACTTCAAACACTGTCCCTTCTCCCTTTCACTTCATTCACTCACCTCGGCCATAGAGGAGAAAAGCTACAAAAAACAAGCTAGGAAAGATACATAGCTTTTTAATAGATACAATTTTCCATGAAACAGGTCCACATGGTTTACTCTACTGGATCCTGGTGAGTGATAGTTATTCCCACCCTACTAAGACATATTAAGCAGGGGGCCCAAGGAACTGACCCTGGCCTAGAGGATCAACGCTGTGACCCAGTAATGTCATTCAGTTGAATTATTGCTGAGTCCTGCATCCAAAAGAAAAATATTTGCTGCAACATAAAGGACATTGGTTGCATTTGCATTTCCTTTATTATATAAGCATAATTTGATGCTATATCAACCTCTGCCATCTAAAAGTCTCCACCCCCGATCCCCACATTAGTGTACACAAGCCTCTTCAAATATCCTAGACTTCACCTTTCTGTTCCCAATATTATTTCTATCTGAATTGATGCTGGAATCCATCTTCTTCAGTACTGGAGGTAACCCGCAGCCGTGACAATAGCAGACAAACATGAGGGAATCCTGAAATTCAGTGGAATTAGCCAGTCACTGTTGTGTCAAAATTCTGCACTGTCCCAAATCGAATACTGATCCTGTGCCAGGAGATGTACTCAAATCCTATATGGATTTCCGGTTTAAAAAAACCATCTTGTGATAGGTTTTTCTGTTAAAAAGCCTGTTACCTGTTCCTTTCTCCCTTTTTTCTGTTAGGAAACTAAAAGTAAAAAATATCTTATTTGGAGGTAATCCCCTTCAATTGGTCTCATCTGTATACGCCTGGCCTAACAAGTCAACCTAACTCTTCAATTCACTAACTGGAGGCTTCAAAACTTCTTCAAAGTAACCTCAGAAACCAGTACTCAGAACTCATTTCTGGGACTCGCAGTCTTGGGTTTCTCCTACATTTCTGTTTTACTCCTTTTTCTCTTGTAAGGGTTTCTTTTCTTCTTGATGTCTTGGTGTTGAAGTGCCATATGGTTTATTACTTGATCCTCTTCTGTTCTCTATCTATGCTCACTCTTTTGCTGACTGCATTCAGTGTTGCATCCTAAATAAAATCTATATGCCAACAACTCCTACATTTATATCTCTATCCCAGACATCTCTTTTGAATGCCAAAGTTATATATCCAGCAGCCTACTTAACATGTCCAGATAGATATCTAATTAACATCTGAAATTCAACATGCCAACAACTAAACTCACCATCTCTTTCACATCTGCTCCATCCATAACTTTTCCCACCTGAATTAATGGGATTTCTTAGGAAAAAATCTTAGGGTCATCTTTGACCCTTCCTTTCACATCACACGTCTATCATCAGCATGTCCTATTGGTTCTGCCTTCAAAATGTAAATAGAAACGTACTACTTCTCAACACCTGAATTGCCACCCACCGGATCTGCACTATCCTCTTCTCTATCTGAGACTGGGCCATCACCTTCTGCTGGACTCTGCTGTTACCATTGCCCTCCAGTGTATACACAGCACAGTTATCAGACTAATCCTTTTCTAAGTGTTAATCAGATCATGTAATTCCTCTGCTCAGATTGCTCTGGTGGCTCCACATTTCACTTACAGTAAAAGCGAAAGTCCTTACACCACACTGAAAGGTGCTATATGATTTAACTTCATCTCCAACCCACTGCCTCTCCCTCGCTCTGTTCCAGCCTATCTGGCATGTTTGTATCCATCTTAGCACTTACGGTATCTGCCTGGAATGATCTTCCTGCATGTAGTAAACTCCCTGATCTTGTTCAAGCAATGCTCAAATGTCACTATCTTAAGGAGTCCTATTGTGAACACTTTATAAACTCTCCACTCAAGTATTGCTAATCCCTCTTACTATGCCCACATCTCCTTTTTGTTTTCTAGCCTTTATATCCCTCAACATACTATATCATTTGCATATTCACTATGCTCTTTGCTTATCTCCTATATTCCCCTGCTGAGAATGTGGGCCCACAGGGTCAGGCATCTTTGTCCTGAGGTATCTCAAGTGTCTAGAACAGTGTCTGCTCCAAAAAAATGTGCTCAAAGGATGTGCTGAATAAATGAATGAAACTGTACAGCAATAAAAAACATGGAGCCTTTGAATATTATTGCCAAGACAAAGGTGATTTTAAGCCCCTAGCATGTCAGCCCTATCATTCTACAGTTTATGTTACCCATTTTCCTTTCACCTTCACAGAGTTGTCAGCCTATTTGCTGCCATTTGGCTCACATTGACCTTTTCTAAGCATTTGCTAAAAACAGATATCCTTTCTGTCTTGCAAAAATCAGAAATTAAATGACTAATGTACATTAGAAACAGTTTAATTATTTTAATTATTCACAGGAATACATTTTGTCTTACTTACCAGCATAATTGTCTTTGCAGGCTGCTGGAGAGTCCCCTCCAGGCTGCCCAAAGTACTAGTTAGAATGTCTTAACAGAACTTCTTAATCTCAGTTCTTAAGGATATAATAATAAATTTTTAAGAGAGCTCAGTATCCTACTTTGTTTAATTGTGTATTATTTCTTATCATCTGTCACTTTAAAATACACATTGCTCTGAATAGAGTGTTGGTTCCCTGAGGGCAGGAGGTTTTTCTCCTACTTGTGCCACTAATTCTTACCACAGTACACAGCACAGGTTGTAGATGCTCGGTGCATATATGTTGAATGAAAGTTAAGCCACCAAAACTAATTTGCTAAAGGCCCCCTGAGAGCACAATCTCATTCAGGAGGCAAGACACACACAGAAAGGAAACATAATATGAAATAGCCAAGCCTGGAGATATAGCAACTGTCCCCGGAGCACTAAAACTTCCCAGTTAGCTGCACTCTGCAGGGCTCCAGGCAAAAGTCACGCATTCAGAAAGAATGGTGATATATCAGACATGCGTTTTCTGCTTATGTAACCACCTTCAATATAGTAAGAAAAAGAATATATTTAAGATGTATAATTAAGAAAAAGAGGGGATAAAAAATCATCCAAAAATGTATTCCACTTTTTTCTATTTCTTATCTAAAGACAGAGTTTACCAGACATGCTAATCAAAGCAACATAGGTGGTAATTGAAGCAAATACTGAGTGGAATATTATTTAGCCATAGTCCAAAAAGTATTATTATGAATTTATTTACTATTCTTTTCAAAGAAAAGTGGCTATTTCATTCATCATTCCTTTTGTTTAAATCATGAAATCTTTGGAGAGTGACATCTAGAGAAAGAATTTTTTACTAAGATTCAGAAGTCATGAATTTTAAGCCTAATTTTGTGCCTTTAAGTTGCTATGTGATTTGGGTAAGTCTCTTAACTACTGGGGGATTCAGCTTCTTAGCTATAAATTGAGGGAATGCTCCTAGATAATTACTGAATTCTCTTCAGAGACTAAATTCAATGGCAACCATTCTATAGATCTATAATCAATCACTGTAAAGCAGGTTACAAATATAATTTTTTAAAAGAGTTAAACTCCAGGTGAAAAAATATTTCCATTTATTATCTTTAGGACTTCTGTTCCTTCCCCATGTAACCAAAGGTGAAAGCAGCCTGATGGATGTAAAAGAACAATGCATCATCATTACTATGATTAAATAGAGAAAGACCCAGAGCTGGCTTGCTGCTGCAGAAATCACAAATTAAAACTTTGCTGAGGACATTCATATTCTATAGTCTTTTCCCATAGGAAGTTCCTAGTGATTATTTATCATCTCACATAGAAAAAAACAAGACATGTTTGTTTTATTTAATCTTAGTTATATCAGTCAGTTCTTGGCGGAAAGCAAGAAAAGTAAACTCAGCTATCCAAAGGAAAAAAAAAATGAGTGATTTAGAAGGCTATCAAGGACTCCCAGGACCAGGCTTGGAGAGCAGACAGAAACTCAAACGGGTCAGTAGGCTGCACAGCATAGGCAGGATTCGTGTCCCACCACAGGGAAGGTCTGGTCCTCGAGTTTCTTCTGTGACCGATCTGACGCCAAACATTCTTTCCATCTGAATCACTCACATAAAAGTCCCAGAAAAAAGCACTTCTGACTCCTGGCTGAACTAAGGATTCAGCCCTGCAGACTAAAGACCAGAAGTGGAAGTCTGAAGTCAGGGAACACCCATCCTTTCTAGATTCTACACACTAGAGAAGTCCTACAAAAGGGCGATGTGGTCCTAGAAGGTATGCGTTGGGGGATGGGAGAGTGGTATGTGCTCCACAGGAAAAAAAAATAAAAAGCATAAACCTATATATTGTTCAAAATATTAATAAAAAAGAAAGTAAATTATGTATGAATATTTTTGTTTGATGGACTAGGTAGGAAGTGACATCACAAGGGCAAAATGAATTGAAAATATTTTGACAAAACCTGTGAATTGTTTATGCTTTTAATTATGTAAATAGAACATGAATAAATTATTTCAATAAAAATTCAAATGTTACTTAAATATATAGAGTAAAAATTAAAAATACCGCTTTACATCCCTCAGTCTTGCTCCTTTCCCAAAGGTAATGACCACCATCCATTTGTTGTTAAATCTTCTAGAACTTTTTCTATTAATAAACATATAAATGAAAATATCATTTAACATTTATACATAGGCACAAATGTGAAATATTGTGTACATAGGTATGCAACTTGCTTTTTTCACTAAATATATATATTAAAGACTTTTACAGATAAAATTCATGTAGATCTACCTTATGCTCTTTATTGCCTGCTATTCCGTTATCTATTATATACCATATTTAACTATACTCATATTGGTGGATATTTAAATTAATTCCAAACTCTTAATCCAAATGTGAGCAAGGCACTGAACAGTCATGTTAAAGCACTTGGCAGGATTTGTATGTGTGTGTGTGTCTCTGTGTGTGTGTGTGTGTGTGTGTGTGTGTGTACATAAAGTGAATAAGAGGTGGTATAAATGCCGCATTTATCTAAGTAGCAGTTTTCACTTTTCTGAGTTATTTATCCCCTATAAGAAGGGGAAAAACTCATTTTCATTTTGAAATCTGATTATAGGTTAAACCAGCTAGGATGATTTTGGCTCTAAGTTTAGATATTCAACAAAAAAAGGAGATAAAGAATTGGAGTGTTTATTGCCTCATAACAAGAAATTCAGAGGTAGAAGATTTCAGGGACAGAGCAATGTCAACAGGAACCCAAGATTTTTCTTCCTTCCTCAGCTGCCTTCCTTAGCATACTGACTTTCTCATTTGTTCTGCCTTGGTAGCAAGATGGCTGCAGCAATTCTGAGGTTCTCATCTTCACACAACATTCAAGTAAAGAAAAAAAAAAAGCATACATCAGTGTTGTATATCCCATCTTTAACATTCAGAAAAAAAACTTCCCAAAGCCCTCTGATATGGTTTGGCTCTGTGTCACCACCCAAATATCACCTTGAATGGTAATAATCCCCATGTGTTAAGGGTGGGACCAGGTGGAGGTAACTGGAACAAGGGGGCAGTTTCCCCCATGCTATTCTCGTGATAATGAGTGAGTCTCATGAGATCTGATGGTTTTATAAGCGTCTGGCATTTCCCTTGCTGGCACTCATTCTCCTTCCTGCCGCCCTGTGGAAAGGTGCCTTCTGCTGTGATTAAAAGTTTCCTGAGGCCTCCTCAGCCATAAGGAAATGTCAGTCAGTTAAGCCTCTTTTCTTTATAAATTACCCAGTCTTGGGTATTTCTTTATAGCAGCATGAGAACGGACTTATACACCCCCCAATGAACTTCCATTTCTATCTAACTGGCCATCATTGTGTCACATGCCCACCTCACACCAATCACTGGCAAGGGGAACAGAATCACATAACTGACTTAGACAAGAAAATGTGCAGTATCTCTACTCCTTGCAGCTAAAGAAGAGATGAACCATATGGCCACCCAATTCCTAAATAAACACTAGGCAAACAACAATGTCCACAACACCAACAAACCTCAGACTTCCCAAAGTAAGATTTATGATGCACACAAGTGGAAGGTCTTTGTTGCAGCCTCAGGCAGCAAAGCACATGGCTCCCAGGAAGTCATCAGAATGTCACGTTATTTAGTTTCTCCTGTCCTGAATTTCATAGTTGCAAAAGTGACATTTCTATAACCAAGCCACATGGGACCCAAGAGAAAAATGGAAAGCAAAAGACCTACCTGCAGACAACAGCTACAGACAAGAGATGAAGTTTTCTGCTTTGCTCTGTCCCACCCTTTCTCCCCTTCTCTTCATTTCTCCTACCTCATAAACACACACTTCTGAGATAGAATCTTGGAGGGTGAAAATATCATGTTCTTTTGAAATAACACCTCTGCCTAAGGAAAATATCCACTTAAATATATCTGTATATGTATATATGCACACATGTACATGCACATACATGTATGTGTGTGCACTTTTATAATACAAGTAAGGCATTTAGAAATCAGAGAAAAAGGAATAATTTTAAATCATTCAAAACTTTCCAGCCAGAAATAACCACTGTTGAGCTAGCGATATATCACTTTGTAGTTAAAAACTCCTTTTCACATCAATGTTTCTTTGTTCCACCAAACAAAATTAAGCACAACACGAGTTTTATATTGACACACACTCAATTTTCAATAAAAATGTGAAGTGCACTATTAAAAATATTAAGATGTCTTCTTTATCAAAACTTCTGTGCAAGTTTTATTACAACACAATGGAAGCAATCAAGCAAAATAAAATGAAACACAAATGGTTCCACCATAAATAGCAGGCCTGGCAGCCTTACCCTAACACTGTGTTAGAAAGTTATTGGGAAACACATAGTAATATAAGTTCTGAGTCACTGAATTTTATCACCCAATCTACAAGGATAAGAGCCTTCCCCAAAGCAGCTGTATCTCTAACCCAGATGTTCTATTGGCGCTCTTTTTCCTGGGCCACTCTGGTATTCACTGGCACATTTTCTGTATTTCATTTCAGTGCCAATCCACTACCAACCCAGCAACAATGTGGCGTTAAACACAAATGATACCCAACAGCACTCTTTGAAATTGGAAATGAGAGTCTTCATTAATTTAGAAAATCCAGAACTACATATTAACATTTTCTGTAATAATTTCTCTCCCTGATTAGGTCGGTGACTAAACAAGTACTCGCTGCTATATTATCCAGGCCATTTGCTTGATCATTTCCTCTGGTTAAAAGCAAGTATTTGTTCTTTCAAGTATTTGTTTTGTTCGGGCTCCAAAAGTTAAAGAGGTAAGTTTACATCAAGACAGGTAAGTATCTGTCCACAATGAAATCTTGGAAAAGATGATTCCCTATGGTTCAATTGTGTGGCCCTAAGTAGCACACACGGGCTAACAGGGTTGTAGAGAGACAGTAGATGTTGTTGCTGAAAGAGGCCTTGGCCGAGTTTCAACATGAGAAGTGGTGTTGTTGTTGTTTATATCCTATCAAATGCCGACATCTGTTCATGGACCGTGTCCTTGCCAGAGCTATACTGTGAGGATATTTAAAATAAAGATATGTAAACATGGCACCTTGAAGTCACTATATTTTATCTTCACTCAAATACAACCTCTTGGAACACTTTGGAAATTCTAAAAAAAAGAGATTGGGGTCAGAGTTAGAAGAATATGATTTACTGAAGTGGCAAAAAGAAAAGTACTTTTTAAAATCCTCTCTGCCATAATATATTGTCATTGTATTAAAACTAATAAGTGGTGATAAAGTCTACTGTTGTTGGCTATAAAGGAAGCTTTTAAAATATAGAGTTTAAATAATAATTGCATACATATGTATATATATATGGAGGCTGCCCTTAGTGTCAGGTTTGATGTGTAATGTTCAAGGGTTATCTGTAATTCATGCTTTACAGCAAGACAGGTCTTTTTATGTCAGAAACCAAGTGCATGATTGCCTGTTCTTAAGCAAAAATGTGCTGCTTGGCAACTGAATTTAAATTGTGTATTATTCTGCTGTGGTTCAACAACCTGATTATTTTTAGATAGAAATTTAAGGTAAAATGGCACATGGATATATTTAGAGAGGACTGCAGCTGGAGTCCAGCTATCACAGAAAGCATTCTGGCATTTGCTTGGGGAAGATATAGCTTTCAAGGGGCAGGGGTTCAGTAATAGCAGGTCACTAACAACTGTTTCAGGGAGTCACTGATTCCTGGAAGCAATGACTGGTGTCTTGACACCCTGGAAGTTTTCCCAAATGACTTGGCTAGAGTAGATAAAGCTCATTTTATGCCGTTGATCGTATGTATTTTCTTGCTGATCATGGAAGATGGGAGCAAGAAAGGACACTATGTTTGATTTGATTTTGCAGGGAATAGAGCGACTCATTAGTCATTCAGTCAAACATCCAACAAACATTTATTGAGCATTTACAATGTACCATGTTATTAGATGCAAGAGATACAATGGTGAGGAAAAACAAATATTCCCATGTCTTCATGAAGCTCAAGACTTAACAGGTAGGATTAACATTAACCAGATAATCACATAAATAAATGTAAAGTTGCCACTATGATGAATGCTGCCAATGAATAGTCTAGTGCTATCAGGGCATGCAAGAGGGGAATCTGGCATAGTCGAGATACAGCAAGGCTTCCCTGGAGAAGACACCACTGAAATCAAGTCTGAAAAGTGAGTAAAAATTAATAAATGAAAGGAAATTTGAGACTGTCCTATGTACTCAGAGCAAAATGTGCCAAAGCCCTGCTGCTGAAGGAGCATGCATGTTTGGGGGACTGGTAGGTCAGTGCAGCTGAAGCAGAGAGAGAGAAGACAGGCTATTATAAGATAAGCCTGAAGAGGTAGGATGAGGTCAACCTTAGAGGACCCTGTACACCACATTAAGGCCTCATATTTTCAGCCATGTAGGCAAAATTGGGGCAAACATACTTTTAAAAGGGATAATGGATCCTTATAAAAGAAATTAAGGTCAATATATATTCATTGCTACTATTTTGTGCAAGAAACTATGCTAGGTCTGAAGAAGCTGCCAAAGGAGTACAACATCTATGTTCATAATGCATAAGCAGTCCAATGAATAAACAGTGAAATATATTCCATGTTGTCAGAGAATATCTTTAAATGATATGAAGATTTACTGGAAGAAGACATGTAACATGACAAGAGGGAATAGAATCTGGGGAACACTTAATAGAAAAAGGCTAATGAACAGTCAATAGAATTTCTACTAGCAGAAATGGAGAGTGTGGAGTTAGTGCTATTGACAGAGTTATCAATGTGAGCAAAACCAAACACCAAAAGTGGACCATGTCCATTGTCTTTGGGGAGAACAGTAGAAACTTCAGGGAGGTTGTGATACAGGCACCACCTGGAGATGGTACAACAGAACAATGTCTTACTTTTACATTGTACCCTACATTTATAATCTCAATAGATCTCCAAAAGAACACTATGAAAGAAATAGGGAAGCTTTAGCAGTTATCTTCATTTTACTGAAATGTAGAGTGTATAAATAATTTTTCCAAGAACACACAACTGGCAAATGATTGATCCACAATTAAAATACAGATTGCAAGTTTCCACTGCTTCACTGAGTCACAAATTTCAATCATTCAGAATCCATCTTTATGGTTTCACTACATCTGGATATCACTTTACTATCATACACTTAACGTTTATCTTTTAATTGACTAATTCTTTTTCCTTAAAATTTTTTAAAAGGAAACTATCACCCCCTAAGAGGAAGCCAATATCATTTGTCACAAGTTTAAAGGTAATCCATAAAAATAAATATTTTTTTTAAAGTGAAACAATTCTAGATACCATTGTCTTTAAAGGAGCCTGAGACATGAATATTTACTTGGTTAAAAAGATAGTTTAGCAAGTGTTAGAAAAGAGCTAAAAAAAAAAAATCCTGGTGAGAATACAAAGAAGTGAAAACACACAAATGCTCCTGGTAGGTGGAAGTATAAGTTGGAACAACTACATTGGAGAGCAATTTGGCAAAGTTTATAGTATATATCTATATAATATAAATATTCTTATTTTATATTATATATATAATGTTTAAATATTTATTTATTTATTTATATGCATTATCTTTAACATAGAAATTCTACTTCTAAATATATAGCCTAGAGCAAGGATCAGTGAACTTTCTCAGCAGAGATCTAGATAATAAATATTTTAAACTTTGCAGGCCGTAGAGTCTCTGTAGCAACTACTTATTTGTGTTGTAGCAGTGCAGAAATGACCACAGATAATAAGCAAATGAGTATGACTGAACTCCAACAAAAACTTACTTATGGACAGTAAAAATTTAATTTAAAACAATTTTGTGTGTCATGAAAAATTAGTACTATGGTTTGAATGCGTCCTCTGAAGTTCATGTGTTGGAAATTTAATCCCCATTGCAAAAGTGTTGAGAAGTGGGACCTTTAAAAAGTGATTAGGTAATGAGGGCTCTGCCTTCATGAATGGATTAATGTTGCTATCATTGGAGTGCATTTATTATCACAAGAGTAGGTTTGTCATAAAAGCGAGTTTGGCTGTCTCTTGCTCCCTCTCAGTGTGATGTCTTCCTCATTTCCTCCATGTTATGATACAGTAAGAAGGCCCTCGCCAGATGTGGCTCTTGATTTTGGGCTTCCCAGCCTCCAGAACCATGAGCCAAATAAATTCCTGTTCATTATAAGTTACTCAGTCTATGCTATTTTATTATAGTGGCAAAAAACGAAGATAATTAGTCTTCTTTTCAATCTTTTAAAAATACAAAATCCATTCTTAGCTCACTGGCTTTACAAAACAGGTGGCAGGCTGGATTTTGACTCCTGTATTTCAAATTCCACTGATCCCTGGGCTTCAAATTTGACTTTGTGTCAAGCAAGTTCATCAGCATCATTTTTCCCACCAATGTATGCTCACTTTGTGTCTCTGTGACATATTTTGGTAATTCTTATAATTTTCAAACGTTTGCATTATTATTTTTTATAGTGATTTGTGATAAGTGATCTTTGATGTTATTGTTGTGTTTTTGGGTCCCATTAATGGTGCCCATATTATACAGCAAACTTAATTAATAAAGGTTGTATATATTCTGATTGCTATACCAACCAACCATTCCCTCATCTCCCTCTCCTTGGGCCTCTGTAATCCCTGAGACATAACAATGTTGAAATTAGGCCAATTAATAACCCTGCAATGGTCTCAAGTGTTCAAGAAAGTGTTCAAGAAAAAGAAAGCGTTGCACATCTCTCACTTTGAATAAAAATCTAGAAAGGATTAAGTTTAGTTTTGAGGAAGGTATGCCAAAAGCCAAAGTAGACTGAAAACTGAGCCTCCTGCACCAAACAGCCAAGTTATGAATACAAAGGAAAATTTCTGGAATAAAATTAAAAGGGCTATTCCAGTAAACACACAAATAATAAAAAAGTGAAACAATCTTATTACTAATATGGAGAAAGTTTTAGTTGTCAATAAAAGATCAAATCAACCACAACATCCTCCTAAGCCAAAGCCTAATCCAGAGCAAGGCCCTACTTCTCTTCAATTCTATCAAGGTAGAGAGAGGTCAAGAAGTTGCAGAAGAAAAGTTTGACATAGCAGAGGTTCATGAAGTTTAAGGAAAGAAGCTGTTTCCACAGCATAAAAAATGCAATGTAAAGCAGCAAGTGCTGATATAGAAGCTATAGCAAATTATTCAGATCAGGCTAAAGTTATTCTTGCAGGTTGCAACACTAAACAGATTTTCAATGGAGATGAACTCTCCTGTTAGGGTCTAATGCAGGTGGTGACTTTAAGTTGAAGCCAATGATCATTTACCATTCTGCTAATCCTATTGCCCTTGACAATTATGCTAACTCTACTCTACCATGCTTTATAGATGGACAAAAGCCTGGATGACAGCACATCTGTTGAAAGCATGGTTTACTGAATATTTTAAGCCCATTGCTGAGATCTAATGCTTGGAAAAAAATAATTCCTTTCAGAATATTGCTGCTCATTGACAATACACTTGGTTGCCCAAGAGTTCTGATAGACATATACAAAGAAATTGATCTTGTTTTCATGCCTGCTAACACAAGATCTGTCTGCAGTCCATGGATCAAGCATAATTTCAACTTCAAGCCTTATTATTTAAGAAATACATTTTGTAAGACCATAGCTGACATAGATTGTAATTCTTCTGGTGGATCTGGGAAAAGTCAGTTAAAATCTTCTGAAAAGGATTCACAATTCTAGATGCCAAAGGGAACATTTATGATTCACAGGAAGAGGTCAAAATATAAACATTAACAGGAGTTTGGAAGAAGTTCATTCCAACCCTCATGAATGACTTTGAGGGGTTCAAGACTTCAGTAGAGAAAGTAACTGCAGGTGTGGTGGAAATAGCAAGAGAACCAGAATTGGAAGTGGATCCTGAAGATGTATCTGAATTGCTGAAATCTCATGATAAAACTTGAACAAATTGGGAGTTGCTTCTTATGGATGAGCAAAGAAAGTGGTTTCTTGAGATGGCATGTCAAGAATATCAAGAATAGCATCTGGGGAAGATGTTGTGAATACTGTTGAAATAACAATCAAGGATTTAAACTATTCCATAAAGTTAGTTGATAAAGCAGAAGCCAGTTTTGAGAGGACTCAATCCAATTTTAAAAGAAGTTCTACTGTGCATAAAATGCTGTCAAATAGTATCATATACCACACAAAAATCTTTCATGTAAAGAAGAGTCAATTGATGTGGAAAACTTCATTGTTGCCTCTTTTTTGTTTGTTTGTTTGTTTTGAGAAGGAGTCTTGCTCTGCCACCCAGGCTGGAGTGCAGTGGAGCGATCTCCGCTCGCTGCAAGCTCCGCCTTCCGGGTTCACGCCATTCTCCTGGCTCAGCCACCCAAGTAGCTGGGGACTACAGGCGCCCGCCACCACGCCCGGTTAATTTTTTTGTATTTTTAGTAGAGACAGGGTTTCACTGTGTTAGCTAGGATGGTCTCGATCTCCTGACCTGGTGATCTGCCCGCCTCGGCCTCCCAAAGTGCTGGGATTACAGGCGTGAGCCACCACACCCAGCCGCAATTGTTGCCTTTTTTTAAGCAATTGCCACAACCCCCACCACCCCCAACCTTCAGTAACCACCACCCTACTCATCAGAAGTCATCAACATTGAGGCAACATCCTCCACCAACAAAAAGATTACTACTTGCTGAAGGCTCCAATGATTGTTAGCATTTTTTTTTTGCAATAAGGTATTTTAAATTAAAGTATGTCTATTTTTAGACATAATGCTATTGATTATGTCTTATAATCAATAATCAACACTTAATAGATTACAGTATAGTGTAAGCATGACTTTTCAATGCATTGGGAAGCCAAACAATTCATTTGACTATCTTTATTGTGATATTTGCTTTATTGTGATGGTCTGGAACCAAACTTGTAATATTTCCAAGGTATGCCTATAATTTATTTGGGAGGTGATCTCAGAAAAGGATGAGTGGGGAAGTGGAGATATGAGATAGGAAAAGGCAGGAAACCCAAGGGTGCAGAATCAACAAATTATCACCATGGGATGTGAGGCAAGTACTGGTGGGGAAAATACCTCAGAGTTGTCTCACAATAGGTGTAAAAACAGGTAGGGTATTTATCCACCAAATCCTGGCCTATCATTGAATGAAAGCTGCTTCAGTCTCTCTGGCATTTCAACTTGCCCTGCAAGTGAGCTGAGTGTGCTCTGAGCATGCCAGAACAGACACCTTTCAGCAGAGTGCTGCAGGTGTCCACAGGAAGCAGCCTTCAATCTGGAGAAGTGAGTGCCAAGGGTATAAGAGCAAAAAACAGTATCTGCTAAATTGCAAACAGTTACAACCATGAATCTGAAAATAGATGAACTGTCATTTGCTCAAAGGAATATTATATAACAGTTCAGATGGACAGTGTAGCTCTACAATAGTGAACATCAATAAATTTCCAAATAAGATATTGAGAAAAAATGGAATTTGTATCATAATAATTAATATATGTAACATTTCCATGCAGTTTAAAAGAATGAAAAACTATAGCAAATTCAGGAAGAGCAGGTGCATTTAGAGAATAGCAGAAAGAAAAGAAGGAAAGTTACACAAAGGACCTCAGCTTTATTTCTGGTTTTTTGTTTTTTTAAAAAGCCAAACATGGAAAAATGTTAAGTATAAAAAATCTGGGTGTGCATACGTGAGTATTCATATTAATATTTTCATATTTTTCTTTATATGATTTATATCAAATAACAGAAAGTTTTAAAGAAATGAGCTAGCTTAAATCTAGGTTGTTCTTATTAAAAATCCAAGCTTCTAGAAGAAAGTGAAGTAGGTGTGAAGAAAAATATAAAACATTGATAGTATCTGATGTGGAAGTTTTCAATATTGATTATTTGTAAAAACATCATTAATTTTGATAGAGAATGATAGCAAGGATATGACACATGTAAATAACTTCTATAATAAAATAGCTATGAGGATTAAAAAAGCAGTTGGCAAAATATCTTAAAAAGATTAAGTGCTATACAGTGTAACTAGTATAATTATTACTAAATTGCAGTGACATTGTGAAATGTTCCAATGCCAGTTGTTGAATATTTACGGAAATTATTGCCTTGTCTTTTGTCAAAACAAAACAGAATTTCCTTTTTCTCCATATTTTTCCTGTTATGATAGGAGGATTCTGGTTTTTGATAAAATTTTATGCACATTTTATCATTTGGAAGTATGAAAAGCTGAAACTTTAAAAAAGACTGAATGTTGCTTGTGCTTTACACATATTCATGGCAAGAATGACAGTAAAAATATGTCTACAAATATCTAGTGCTTACAATATTCTAGCAGTGGGATAAATGCTTTCCATATATACTCTCATACAGTCCTTATTACAACGTTGTTATGGAAGTTTCTGTTTTCCTTACTTTGTAGATGGGGAAAGTGAAACACCGCTCAGTGTAAGTGGCTTGCCCAAGAATATAAAGTTAGGACATGGAGTGGCCAGGACTTGAAATGACTGCTGTTAGCTCATTAAAAGCCTGCACCTTTAGTCACTCTGCTGTACATTGCCCCCACAAAAGGAAAAAAAAAGTTAGTTAAATTCCACTATACAAAGCAACAAAGCATCAAATTTTATTTTAATATTTCTCAAAATAAATTGGCCATTATTAGGTTTTAGAAATCTTTAGGGTCATAAGCACTCCATTATAATGTTTTATTGTAATAAGATTTAGTCTATTTGCGATAATCCACTTTGCAATTGCACATTTGTAATGTTTACATGTTACATTATATTATGCAAGAGGGCTAAGACAATTTAATATACCTGTGACTGGCATGCACTTACTAGAACTTAAGGAGATTCACTTTAAGAAAACCCTCCTTTGGAATGTATGTATGAATGGTGCTGCTTCTGGCAGTATATGTAACACTTCAGCACCTGGCCAGTGTTTGACCTTGCCTACTCTTGTCAAACACAAAAAGTGTTAATAGTCTCAGTGAGAAACCTGGCTGTCACCATTATGCTAGGAACAGGTTACTAGGTGTGGGACTGACACAGCACACTTGCACAGGTTTTGTATGAGCTAGTCCTGAGCTTTGACTGCTCTCCTTGCCTCTCATCTGAGATCATGACCCTTCAAGCTGTCTGGTCAAGACTCTGTTAAGAACAAATGGTGTACTGTTTAGTCAATTGTGTTATGCTACTTACAACCCAAAAATTATAGTAGCTTACAATATTTATTCCTTTACATGAGTGATGCAGGTCAGCTGCAGACATGTTGGTTACATAGGTAACCAGATATGGACTTCACTGGGCTGCACTAGGTCCAGTGGGCCATTCTTGTATGGCTACTTGTCCCGAGATCCAGAATTAAGTAGTGGCCACTGCCTAGGGCATGGTGTTCCCATGGTAGAGGGAAATGTTAAGGGTAAAGGGAGAAAAATCACACAAGCTCATTTAAAGCTTCTGTTCAGATGCTGCTTGCCTCACATCTACAACCGTTCCACTGACCAACCCACGTCAAATGGCCATGGACAAAGCTAATGGGATGGAAAAGTATACTCCACCTATGGGGAAGGTAATACAAAATTTGTGGCAAAGGGTAAACGTGAATTTTTTTTTTTTTTTCTGAGATGGAGTCTCACTCTGTCGCCCAGACTGGAGTGCAGTGGTGCGATCTCGGCTCACTGCAAGCTCTGCCTGCTGGATTCATGCCATTCTCCTGCCTCAGCCTCCCAAGTAGCTGGGACTACAGGTGCCCACCACCACGCCTGGCTAATTTTTTTGTATTTTTAGTAGAGACGGCGTTTCACCACGTTAACCAGGCTGGCCTTGATCTCCTGACCTCGTGATCCACCCATCTCAGCCTCCCAAAGTTCTGGGATTACAGGTGTGAGCCACTGCGCCCAGTCAACATGTAATTTTTTAGTGGGAAAAAGGTAATAATTGGGAGTCAAATAGTTCAATTTACCACAGTAGAAAAAATATCAAAGGAGAAGGAATGAGAAATTATATATATATATATATATATATGAAATAAATATATATATATATATGCACACACTAAATTATAAATATACAAGTATTGTAGTAATAAAATTTTTAAGCTATAAAATCATCAATTTCCTAAAATCATTGGCATCAAGCTCATAATAATATTTAGGGAGAAATCTCAATGCCCCTACCTCTTGTGTTTCCACCTGGAGGGATTTCAGCTTTTCTCATCCCCCTTGTTCACACTTCCAGGGTAGAAGGAATAGGTGAGTTTAGAAGCATCTGTGAATGCATGACTGATGTCCTCTGGGCTCTCTCTCTTCTGAAGCATCCCTGTCTAGTGGGATGGTATGTTCTACTCTATCCCTATCCTCTTTCCAAGGTAAGAGTCTTGTCCCTGTCCAGCTGTGTTGGTGACTGGTTTGGTACATTTTATTTACAGAGGAATCATTAGAAATAGACAAAGAAGTCTTTTCCTCAGTTGGTTCCACCTTTAGTCAGGGAAGAGGACTGTTCTTGCTGGCTCCTTCCCAAAACTGTAGTAATAATAGTGTTGGTAACAGCTAATATTAATTAAATACCTACCACTTAAATACAGAATCTCATTCATTGTCATAATGAGCCTGAAAACTGTTCAATCAATTTTACAGTTGAACAAACTGAGCCTCAGAAGAGTTATGTGATCCTCCCAAGGTCGCACAGCTAATAAATTGGTGGACCTGAGTTACAGTTTTAAATAATATTTACCTGTATGTTTTTTCTTCCAAGTTATTTATATGAACAGGGTGTACATATGCAGGTTTGTCACATGAGTGAATTTCATGTCGGGGGGGTTTGGCCTACAGATCATTTTGTCACCCAGGTAATGTGCATGGTACCTCACAGGTAGATTTTTTAATCTCCTATCTCTTCTTCCCACCCTCCACCCTCAAGTAAGCCCTAGTGTCTATTTTTCCCTTCTTTGTGTCCATGTAGTCAATGTTTAGCTCTCACTTACAAGTGACAACATGCAGTATTTGGTTTTCTGCTCCTGTGTTAATTAGCTTAGAATAATGGCCTGCAGCTTCATGCATGTTACTGCAAAAGATATGATTTAATTCTTTTTTATGGCTGCATAGTATTCCACAGTATATATGTATCACATTTTCTTTATCAAGTCCACCACTTTTGGACATTTAAGTTGACTCCATGGTTTTGCTATTGTAAGTAGTGCTCCAGTGAACTATACATGTGCATGTATCTTTATGGTGGAATGATTTATATTCCTTTGGGTATATACCCAATAAAGGGATTGCCAAGTTAAATGCTAGTTCTCAGTTCTTTGAGAAATCTCCAAACTTCTTTTCACAGTGGCTGAACTAATTTACATTCCCACCAGCAGTCTATAAGCGTTCCTTTTCTCCACAATCTCACCAGCATATTTTTTTTTTTTACTTAATAATAGGCATTCTGACTGGTGTGAGATGATATCTCATTGGGGTTTTGATTTGCATTTCTCTAATGATTAATGATGTTGAGTATTTTTTTCAGATGCTTGTTGGCTGCATTTATATATGTCTTCTTTTGAGAAGTGTCTTTTCATGCCCTTTGCCCATTTTTTTTAATGGGATTGTTTGTGCTTTCTTGTTGATTTGTGTTCCTTCTAGAATCTGGATATTAGACCTTTGTTGGGTACACAGTTTGCAAATATTTTCTCCCATTCTGTAGGTTGTCTGTTTTCTCTGTTGATAGTTTCTTTTGCTGTGCAGAAGTTCTTTAATTAGGTGCCACTTGTCAATTTTTAGTTTTCTTGCGATTGATTTTGAAGTCTTCACTATGGAATCTTTGCCAGGGTTCATGTCCAGAATGGTACTTCCCAGGTTTTCTTGTACAGTTTTTATAGTTTTAGGTTTTACATTTATATCTTTAATCCGTCTTGAGTTGAGTTTTTAATATGGTGAAAGTAAATGGCCTAGTTTCAATCTTCTACATATGGCTAGCCAGTTATCCCTGCACCATTTGTTGAATAGGGAGTCCTATCCCCAGAGCTTGTTGTTGTCAGCTTTGCTGAATATCATATGGTTGTAGGTGTGCAGCTTTATTTCAGGGTTCTCTAACCTGTTCCATTGGTTTATGTGTCTGTTTTTGTACCAGTACCATAATATTTTGGTTACTGTAGCCTTATAGTAAAGTCAGGTAATGTGATGGCTCTGGCTTTATTCTTTCAGCTGAGTATTGTATTGGCTATTCAGACTTTTTTAAAATTCCATATGAATTTTAGAATAGTTTTTTTCTAATTATGTGAAAAAATGCCACTGTTAATTTGATTGGAATAGCACTGAATATGTAAATTGCTTTGAGTAGTATGGCCATTTTAACAATATTGATTCTTCCTATCTATGAACATGGAATGATTTTCCATTTGCTTGTGCCATCTCTGATTCCTTTGAGCAGTGTTTTGTAATTCTCATCATAGAGATCTTTCACCTCCCTGGTTAGTATTCCTGGGTATTTTATTCTTTTTGTGGTTATTGTGAATGGGATTATGTTCTTTATTTGGCTTGGAAGTTACTGATGTATAGAAATGCTACTGAGTTTTGTACATTGATTTTATATCCTGAAACTTTGCCGAAGTTGTTTATCAGATAGCTATAGTATAGGAGCTTTTGGGCAGAGATATGGGGTTTTCTAGGTAAAGAATCATATAATCTGTGAAGAGAGGTAGTTTAACTTCCCTCTTCCTATTTTGATGCCTTTTACACCTCTTTCTTGCCTGATTGTTGTGGTAGGACTTCCAGTACTATGTGGAATAGGAGTAGTAAGAGTGGGCATCCTTGTCTTGCTTCAGTTCTCAAGAGGAATTCTTTCAGATTTTGTGCACTCAGTATATGTTGGCTGTGGGTTTGTCATACATGACTCTTAATTTGAGATATGTTCCTTTGATGCTTAGTTTGTTGAGGGTTTTTAAAATGATGGCATGTTGAATTTTATCAAAAGCCTTTTCCACATCTATTAAGATAATCACATGGTTTTTGTTTTTAGTTCTGTTTATGTGATGAATCACATTGATTAATTTGTGTATGTTGAACCAACCTTGAATCCCAAAAGGAATCCACCACTTGATCATGGTGGATTAGCTTTTAGATGCGCTGCTGGATTCAGTTTGTTAGTATTTTGTTCAGGATTTGGCATCTATGTTCATCAGGGATATTGGCCTGAAGTTTCTTTTTTTCATTGTGTCTCTGATACGTTTGGGTATCAGAATGATGCTGGTCTCATACGATGAGTTAGAGTCCCTCCTCCTCAGTTTTTGGACTAGGTTTTGTAGGAATGGTACCAGCTCTTCTTTATACATCTGGTAGAATTCAGCTGTGAATATGTCCGGTCCAGGGCTTTTTCTGTTTGGTAGGTTTTTTTATTACTGATTCTATTTCTGAATCCATTAATGGTCTGTTCAGGATTTCAATTTCTTCCTAGTTCAATCTTAGGATGTTGTATGTTTCCAGGCATTTATCCATTTCTTCTAGGTTTTCTAGTTTGTGTGTATAGAAGTGTTTGTAATAGTCTCAGGGGCATTTTGTATTTCTGTGGGGTCAGTGGTAATGTCCCCTTTATTATTTCTGATTGTATCTATTTGGCTTTTCTCCTTTTTCCTTTATTTTTCTAGCTAGTTGTCTATCAATCAATTTTATTTATTCTTTCAAAAAAGACACTTCTGGTTTTGTTTCTCTTTTGGGTGTTTTTTCTCATTTCCATTTCATTCATTTCAGCTCTGATTTTCATTGTGTTTTTCTGCTAGCTTTGAGGTTGGTTTGCTTTTGTTTTTCTAGCTCCTCTAGGTGTGAGGTTAGGTTGCTAATTTGAGATCTTTCTAACTAACTTTTTAATGTGTGCATTTAGTGCTATAAATTTTTCTCTTAACACTCCTTTAGCTGTGTCCCAGAGATTCTGGTATGTTGTATCTTTGAAACTGATAAAAGTTTCAAAGAATTTCTTGATTTCTGCCTTAATTTCATTGTTTACCCAAAAGTCATTCAGTAGGAGGTTAATTTCCATGTAATTGTATGGTTTTGAGAGTTCCTCTCAGTATTGATTTCTATTTTTATTGTGCTGTGGTCCGAGAGTGTGGTTGGTATGACTTCAGTTGTTTTGAGTTTTTTGAGAATTGCTTTATGGCCAAGCATGTGGTTGATTTTGGAATATGTGCCATGTACAGATAAGAAGAATGTATATTCTTATTGCTGTTGGGTGGAGTGTTCTGTAGATGTCTATTAGATACATTTGGTCAAGTGTAGAGTTTAGGTCTCAAATATCTTTGTTAGTTTTGTGCCCTGATGATCTAATACTGTCAGTGGGGTTTTGAAGTCTCCCATTATTATTGTATGGTTATCTAAGCCTCTTCATAGGTCTCTAAGAACTTCTTATTTTATGAATTTGAGTCCTCCTATGTTGGGTGCATATATATTTAGGATAGTTAAGTCTTCCTGTTGAATTAAACACTTTATCATTATATAATGCCCTTCTTTGTCCTTTTTGATCATTGTTGATTTAAAGTCTATTTTGTCTGAAATAAGACTAGTAACCCCTGCTCTTTTTTGTTTTTTGTTTTCTTGATAGATCTTTCTCTATCCCTTTACTTTGAGCCTATGGTTGTCACTGCAGGTGAGATGGGTCTCTTGAAAACAGCATAAAGTTGGGTCTTGCTTCTTTATCCAACTTGTCACTCTGTGCCTTTTAAGTGGAGTATTTAGCCCATTTATGTTCAAAGTTAGTATGGATATGTGTAGATTTGATGCTGTCATCATGTTGTTAACTTGTCGTTATGTAGACTTGATTGTGTAGTTGCTTTATAGTGTCAATAGTCTGTGTACTTAAGTGTGCTTTTGTTTTGGTTGGTAATGATCTTCTATTTCCATGTTTAGCACTTCCTTATGGACCTCTTGTAAGTAGGTCTGGTGATAACAAATTCCCTTAGTATTTGCTTGTCTAAAAATAATTTTATTTCTCCTTTGCTTATGAAGCTTAGCTTGACTGGCTATAAAATTCTTGGTTGGAAATTCTTTTCTTTAAGGATGCTGAATATAGGCCCACAATCTCTTCTGGCTTGTTGGATTTCTGCTGAAAGGTCCACTGTTAACCTAAAGGGGTTCCCTTTATAGGTTACCTGCACCTTCTCTCTAACTGTCTTTAATATTTTTTCTTTCACATTGGCCTTGGAGAGTCTGATGACTATGTGTCTTGGGGATGGTCATTGTGTATTGTATCTTTCAGGGGTTCTCTGAATTTCTTGAATGTAAATGTCAACTTCTCTAGCAAGATTGGGGAAATTTTTGTGGACAATATCCTCAAGTATATTTTCCAAGTTGCTTGCTGTTTCTCCCTCTCTTTCAGGGACACCAATGAGTCATAGGTTTGGTCTTTTTACATAATCTTATATTTTTCAGAGGTTTTGTTCATTTTTATTTATTCTTTTTTCTTTATTTTTGTCTGAGTTGATTCAAAGCATCAGTATTTGAGCTCTGAAATTCTTTCCACAGCTTGGTCTATCCTGCTGTTAATACTTGGGATTATATAATAAAATTCTTGCAGTGAGTCTTTCAGCTCTATCGGATCCATATGGTTCTTTCTTAAAATAGCTATTTTTGTCTTTCATCTCTTGAATCATTTTAGTGGATCCCTTAGATTCCTTAGATTGCATTTCAACTTTCTCCTGAATCTCAGTGAGATTTATTGCCATCTAGATTCTGAATCCTATGTTTGTCATTTCAGCCATTCCGCTCTGGTTAAGAACCATTGCTGGGGAGCTAGTACAGACCTGAGTTTCAATGCCAGGCATATTGGAAGCCAAATTGTACAACACTGTTCTGGCCCCTTCTGCCTTTGTGTGCAATAGCAATGCTCAAGATAGGGAGAAGCCCAGGAAAGGAGAGATAAGGCCGAGTGTCTGAAATGTCAGGTATTTTTATTGTCTTGATTTCTTTGTTACACAGTAAATTGTTAATAACTTAGACTTTTTAACCATAGAGGTTTGACATCTTTATGTGAATTTTGGAAATGTATTAGTATGTCTCTAAAGTGGCATAATTCTGATTATTAAAACCTACTAATTTATTAATATATCTTTAATTTCATTAGAAGACAATGATAAGATGGAGTTTAACTCAAAGAAATTTTCATTAGTACAAATTTTACAAATATATCTCTATTCTGATACAAAGATCTACCAGTACAGAGAGGGATAATGACCTTTTTGTGGGATTTAGGAGACCCACCTGGGTCTTATAAAGTTTTCTGTAATGCTTAAGCCCTTTAACTATTGACTATTGACCAATTATGGTAATTGAAGATGTGACTTCTATCAATATAATTATAAGACTTTTGGATATAGCTAGAGTTAAGATTTAAAAAAATTTTAACAGTGACAGATGATGATATTTTTGTCCTTTACCTGATATTTATGTATCTTTTTAGGCTTGTTTTAATTTTCATGATAATATGGTACCATGTCTTTTTCTTTGAACCCTGAGATTAATAAAATGTATTCCTGGAGACTTCCTATTCACATAAGTGCTATTATCTCAAAATCTTGCTATAAGAAAACATCACAAGCCTCAATTCCTTCCTGCCCTTTTCTCCGTGTTACTTGTCAAACTGTTACTGGAAATGAGTATCTGACCTTTTTTTCTCCCACACAATTTCTAATAAAGATGCTGCCACACGGCTGTATCCTAGTAACTAGGTTTTATGCTGAGAAAGACTATTAAGAAAGAGTCCAAGATAGGGCTAATTTCGACCATCAGTAAAGGTAATTTGCTAGTCTTGTTCTTTTTCTTGATTTCTTTAATTTAGATGAATAACAGAGCTAACCTTAATGTTCCTTCTGATAAAAATACTGTCCTATAGACCCAAATTAGCATATTTGCTTTTGATTACCTTGCAAAACTCTATTTGCTCTCTTTTCTTAAAAGCTTAATAATTCATATAAGGCTTCAGAGGAATAAAATCACTATGTGCGGGTGAAAAATCCTAACTTCCCTGCTGAGGTTAAATGGCAGCCTTCAAAGAATTTTTTAAATAAATAATGGAAAGAGATACTCCATCTTGCCTCTGAACTGCTGCATAAGCAATTCCTTATCGCCGGAATTTGCAGAGACATAAGAAATCAGTAGTCATACAGGCAGGTACTAGAAACCAGGAAGCACCAATATCCTAACTGAAGGGCAGAGACTGGAACTGCTCTGCTTCAGGGCTTTGTGAGACTCTGGGAATCAATTCCTCAATTTTCAATGCAGTAGCTTGCTTTTGCACTCCTAAGGCATGAAATTGGATGAGCGGAAAAAATGCATTCTTTTCAGGCAGAACACAGGTTTAAGGAAACAAGAGGGGAAAATGTACAGGTGCCCTGGAGAAGGGACTTCTTCTCTTGGAACAGTCTACTGGGCAGACTAGGAAAGGAATCAGAGGAAGTTTGAGGGTGAGCTTGTTGCTGGGGTATGGCATGACATTTTTGCTTTGTAGATCATAGAGGAAGATGGGCACCACTGCCCCAACTCATTTCCTCCCAGCCTGAGTTTGGTATGCCTTTGTCACCTAAAGTCATGAAGGTTCAATCAGAATTCCAGTAGCATTAGGTTGTAAACACAGAAGTGGTTTCCCAAAGGCCAACCCATGTCCTAGTTGCTACTTGTACTTAATTCAAGCAGCTTTAGTGTCTCACTGGGCTGGCAGGTCTGGGAAGTCAGATCTGACATGCAGTAGGATGTGCTCATCATAGAAATCACACTTCTCCAGAGTAATTTTTAAGGTAATGTGAACTAAAGTTAATTTCTCAGAAATGTTGCAGGCCCTCTCTCTCTAGAAGTATACTTTTCAGTCCTCTAACTATGGTTGTTTTTCTTCTTTCAATGAAATCAATGCAACCTATACTAACTTGGGACAATGGACCCTGCAACATCCAGTATTTCAGCTGCAGTGGAGTTACTTTCCCAAATGCTTCAGGCATCTGTTTCTTCATTTCTTTCTTCTTTTGCTGTAAAAGAGCTCCATATGTCTTGTTTTAACACAATATGTTTGCAACCACAGCAAATTAAACAATGCCAGTTGAGAACCATATACTAAAATATGAAAATCTAAATCAAATTTATATCTTCACAATGCAATGTTTTCTGAACTTCGCTTGTGCACATACCATCATCACGATTTTTGTCATATCCACATTTTACCTATAGTATTAGTAATTTTCTTTTCTTTTAAGTTGACTCACATTTTTACCTCCATACATTAATTTCAAAGGAAGCTACAATAAAAGTAGCATATCACTCATCATAAACAAGAAGTAAATATAGATATGTAATCATTAAAACATAAAAATTTTGTCACCCCCCTGAAAATTATCTGCATACCATATTTTGAAAAATTATTGTACAGAGATTTATAATTTATAGATTTCTCTAGCATAAATTAATCCATTTAATTTTCACAAGAATTCTATGAATTTGGCAAGCAGATACAGTATAACCATCCACATTTTAGAGACAAGAAAACAAGGACTGGCTCTTTAAAAAAAAAAAAAAAAAAAAAAAAGTAGAGTTTTCATACCGAAAGAGAGCTTGCTGTTGTTTTTGTTTGAAGCCCATATTATCTAATTTTGTACAGTTTATGTGTGACTTTTCCAGGTTCGTTTGTGGTCTAAGAGTCTAAAATTCAAGACTACAGTTCTTCTAGAACACTGTTTTAATTGATTCCTTACTCACTTACAATCAAAAATCTTCTTGTGACTGTCCACATTTTGATTGCACTAAAACTGTGCCAAAATAAATATATTTGAAATAATTGATAATTTATGGAACCCTTAAAAACCTTCTTAACACAAAAATTTTATGTGGTAAGGTAGGTAACATTTTTCTATGCTGCAAATTAAGAAATCATGAAATATTTAAATAATTTGTCCCAAATCAAACATCTTTCTCTACAATTAGAAACACCAAAAATTGTTAAATTTGTGTGAAAACTCGAGAGGTTTAAGATAGCGCTTTATAAATCATATTGGAAAACAACACTATTATGTGAAATTCCTCACAGCAAAAATATGTTATAAAATGTCTTAGCGATTTTTTTCACTTCACTAATGAAGAGGTAAGTTGTAATCATCTAAAGCAAATAGTGATACTAAAATCACAGATAGATATTTAAGCAAGAGATAACACATACTCTTAGTCAAAGACACAGGAAATATTACATAAACATTCAACAAAAACATTCATAAGAAAAGAAAATTGGCATTATATCATTGAGAATTACATTCATTCATTCTACAAATAAAATATTCTTAAATTCCTATTGCTTCTATAATTCTCATTTTAGTTTATTTTCAATTATATAACATGGGCATTTTAAAATTTGTGATGATATAGAGGGATATTAAATATAAATAAATGTTTCTCCCTCTTTCCTTTCTTCATTCTCCCTCCTTTCTTCATTCTCCCTCTCCCCAGTCCTACTTCCTAATTTCATTCACCAGAGGTAATCATTATTAAATTTTTGTGTGTGTATATGCTTTCAGAAGTTTGATGCATATGCATATGCTTTGTTTTTAGGCAAACGGAATCTGAAAATACTTACATACACACTGTTTTGAATCATTTTTTCTTGATATCGATATCTTTTTATGTTGTTATATACCAACCTTTTACATTCTTTTAATTGTAACAGAGTGTTCCATTGAATATATGTGCAACCATTTATATTGCTGGTTGTCAGATTTTTTTTCTGTAAAGAATCATATGGCAAATATTTCAGGCTTTGTGAAATATTTGGTCTCTGTCACAACTATTCAACTCTGCCATTGATAATACATAACTGATGGGTATGGCTGTACTCTGATAAAACTTGACAAAAACAGGCTATAGGCGGGATTTGGCCCACAAAACATAGTTTATTGACCCCTGATCTAAATAATTAGTGACCTATAATATCTAAATAATAGTCACAGTATAAACAAGTTATTTTCTGTTTGTTGCTATTAAAAATAGTGCTGCTATGGGACTCTTTAATGTATTTGCATTTGCTCGATTAAGTTAAAATGAATACACCACAGAGTATTTAAAATATTGCTTTATGTGTGAAAAAACAATCCTGTATATTCTGGGCTTCTGTCCATCAAGTGCTTGTGTTCTCTCCATGGACAAATAGATATTTTCTGTCTGTGCTGTTTTATTTTTTTATCTGGCCACTTTCCTACCTTACTATTGGCTAAATGAAAAATCCAGAGACTCGAATCTATTATTGTATCTATTTCCTGTTTCCCCTGACTTGTGTTATCCAGGGATTAGTGACAAGAAAGTGTTATCCTTATGGGAGAGGAACTGTCTAACTCAAAGATTATATGTGAAGGGAAAGCTTAATGGAGATTGAATTAAATACCTGGTATTTTTCTTTTCAACTATTTTCTCTTTCATTTTCTTTTTTTTTTTTTTCAGAGATTCTTTGTGGCAAGTTGAGTTTGTATCAGAATAGCTCCAGACAATGGAGAGATTCTAGAATCAGCTTTTAGCCTTTAATTAAAGACCTGAAAGATATTGCTATCAGCCACTTCAAGGTATAGAGAAATTAATACTCTGAACTGCAGGGTATCTGAGAGAACAAGTAATCAGATGCTGTGTTATCACAGAAGATAATGGGCACTATTTCTTGCTCCTCCTTGAGTTAAATGTTTATACAATGTCTGGCAAGACCCTTACAGGTAGAGCTAAACAGCATCTTCTGTTCCAGCTTTTCTACAAACGGTCTCATGATCAGCCCCTGCAGACATATGAATTTTAACTCAGTTTTGCTTCCTTTGTAGTTGAAGTGCTCATTGGGGATGTCATTACTATCTGGAGAACTTGCATTTTCCTTTTTCACTAGGCTTAGCAAAATAAAGTCCTTGTGTCTTTCGTTCCTCATCATCCCAGCAGACTTTTAGGCTGAGATTTTTGAACAAATATATTTGTACTTGAAATTTATTGAATTTGTGGCTGAATGTCTCACCTTTAGAGAGGATCACTCAACACCTGAATAAGACTCCCAAACTAACAAAGGAGCTATAAACCCATGAAGTATTGCTGATAAGGCAGTTGATATTAATCTGGGTCTGAAATCTGGCTTGACGGAAATCCAGTCAGGCTCATTGGATTCTTCCTATGTCATGGTATGCATGATCCTGACTTTTTCATGAGCTAGCTTATCCTAATCAATATTATCTGGCATACTATACTTCATAAAATAAGGTTATATTCCCCTTAATGTTCAAATTAATCCACTTTGAGCTCCTCCCACTTATCCAGAGAATGTCTTACTTTTCTTGCTAGTGTTTCACTCCCTTTTCGTAATAAATCATTGAAGGCCAGTGGTATTTATTCAAACAGGAAAGGCCAGTTCTGGTTATTAGTGACTTACAGAAAAGACACTGGAAAGGTTCATCAACCCCTTGACATGTATCATTCTTAATTGTATTTGCTGATGTTGCTGCCAAAAATCAGAGTCTGGCAGTACTGTAGTGATCCAGGCGTGAGCTGCCATAGAAACCAGGCTTTTTGGTGATAGTTTCTCAGGAGAGAGCAGAAAAAGGCAAATTTTCTCTTCTCAGTGTTACAACTACCTCTGGTCTCCCCACATAAAGCATTATAGGAAACTGGAAAAAGTTTCCCTAAGAGACTGAATCCTTTGTGTTACAACCTTGTAATGACTACCCAAGAGTAGTCTCTCAAATTAATATAACCAAAGAAAGGAGAGTGGGCCATTTACTATAGCCTGAAATATCCTGCTGTCCTTGCACCTCAGGAGACTTTCCTAGCAGTACGTTCAGCTGAAAACATGAATATCCTTGTTCAGAAAACTCACAAAAGGGCTTTTTGATAAGGCCCTATGTTGACACAAAAAATTAGTTTTGGATATGGACTGGAAATATCTATTTTGACAATACATCCTTTCATCTACCACCAACCCTCTCTACACACAAACACACATATATAAATTCACATCTATTATGTGTAACTTTGCTCCATCCAAACAGCCACAAAGAAGCTGACCCTGATACCAACTGGAACTGGCTGCAGATGATGAAACTATCCTCTCTAGCTTGTCCACATAGCCTGCCCACGTCCACAGAGGAGAGGCCCATAACCAGGGTGTTGTCAACAGCACAGCACCTTCAGAACTACAGGGGATACAGGACATTGTCATGAATTGAGGGAAGAGAAAATGTGTAACTACATTAACCCAGGGTAAAAAGATATGATTCTTATCTTCTCCTGTGACACACACATATACACATACACACACACACACACACACACAAGCACACACCCACTCAAACTCTTAACAGACCACCTTATAATGAAAGAAATGCTGAGTTCACCATAGGCTGTGCTTTGAGCTAGCTCTCTAGGACCTTTTGACAGGCTTGTGTTAACAGTTTTGGAATAAAGAACGTGACTTTTCTTCCAGTAAGTTTCACCTCAGGGGCCAGGGAGGGCTACCCCAGTACATATGATTAAGTTTAATAACTTTCAAACTTAAAATTATCAAGGGTTACAGCACCATTCTCCTCCCCCACAGCCCAAAAGCAATTTGACTCCTTGACAAAGTTGCCCGTCTCTTCTTGGGCAACTTTTAAAATGAAGGTGTGTTAGTCTGTTCTTGCATTGCTGTAAAAAAATACACGGGAGCCACCAAAGCTTACAGCTTGCACCCTGTGAAGTGGTGGGCCACGCTGCACATGGGCTTCTTTGAGCCAAGGCTGGAGACAGAGTGGCATAGAGGCAGGGAACAGTGTCCTGAGGCTATGCAGGTCAGCAAGGCCCTGTCTTCACTTCTGGGTTCCCTCAGAATCAGTCTAATCTCACTTTCAGATCACAGCTATTTGAGTATTGTCAGGCAGCTACCAGATGCTTTCCAAAGCTTTCTTTCTCTAGATTGAATATCTCTGATTGTTTCAACTATCACCCATTATGGTAGGATTTTAGTAACTTAATTATCCTTTTCATCTTTACCAAACACACTTTTGGAGAGCACCAGCATGCTGGGTTTCAGGGACCATGCTTTTAGGGTGTTCCATATAGTTGATCATCATAATAATATTAATTATAACAATAAGAAGCTAATATTTAATGTATACCAACTGCATACAAGGATTGCATTGAATGACTGATGTGCTCTTACTCTCTTACTACCTACAATACCCCTGATGCAGTTTGAGTGCTCCAGAAGCTGATGCTAGGACAGAGTTTGGAGAATGTCTGTCAAGAATCAAAACTTGTAAAAGAAAGGGAAATTTGTGAAAGGAAGCACAATTGCCCTGAGAGAGAAATTGAATTGTGGTGTAGGCCTGACAAGGCCTCAGCCAAACCAGCAGGGGGCTCTGAAGCAATTACATTGCCCAACAAAGTTGTCCCATATGGGACCCAAATGACTGATCCTTTATGAAAACCATAAACACACTGCACCATTACTGGATGCAGATTGCCCAAACGTGGGAATGATCTCAGGTAATGTGACTCTGCATCTCAGGCAGACCTTAAGGGCAAATTGATGGAGGCCGTCTGCTGACTATTGTCTTTACAGCTGGGCAGGTCTTTCCTAGAAGAGGGGTCTTGTCAGTACATCTCCATTTCCACCACAAACCTATAAGGCCAATACTTTTATTTTTCCCATTTTACACATAAGGAAACTGAGATATAGACAGATTAAGTAATTTACAAAGATAATACAGCTTGTAACTTAAAAAATGATGAAAATATCTCTTCTGTAGTTAAAATCAAAGTATGTTAGATTAAATGTACTCGAAAACTGAAAATCTACTTCATTCCCCTACACTTCCAGACAACATGCTATATATTAGAGAAACTGCCAAGAACTGTGAAGGTCTGAGACTTTACCTTACTTGCAAGCTAACAAGCCTGCCCCATTTCGTGGATGTTGTAGAAGACATGATACTCTGGGGTCAGAGAAAAGGACTTGATTACTCACAGCACAGTGGGCAGTATGAGCTTCATGTTCACACCAATCTCCCTTCTCCATCACCACCCTCCTCTTAGTTGTATGCAAGTGATATTAAGGCATCCCAGGTGGATACTGCACCCACAGTGGATTTGTGTCACAGCTGAGGAACCTGGAGCTTAGGAAATTCCATCCTTTAAAGGAGATTGCTAGAATACCTCCTAATCATTTGCCTCAAGGGAAATATTTTTATTATCCTAGCCAGAAGAAAGTCTACCTTCTGTTGTAGGGTAAGACACTACATTTTCCAAGGTTGTTTGCTATACAAACATTTTTGAAAATACAGTCCATAATAAAAATTGATGCAATATGTGCAGAAATGCCAAGAAAATTGTCTCCCAAAAGATACAAAGAGAAAAATGACATAATCTCTGCCTTACATCAATCTAGAGAAGGTAATAATAAAATCAAAATGTAACTATAAAACACTATATAGATTTTTATAGGTGGGTAAAAGACCACGAAGCTACAGGAACAGATAGAGGAAGAAACCAATAGCTGGTTAAGGCTAGGGAAGCCTTCATATAGTAGGTGATGTTTGAGTGTTTACTGTTTTCTAGAATTTAATCAGTTCCTAGTAACATTTGAATAAAATAGGAAAGATGATATGGTTTGGCTGTGTCCCCACCCAAATCTCATCTTGAATTCCCACATGTTGTGGGAGGAACCTGGTAGGAGGTAATTAAATCATGGGGGCAAGTCTTTCCCATTCTGTTCTCATGATAGTGAATAAGTCTCTGAGATCTGATTATTTTAAAAAGAGGCATTCCCCTGCACAAGCTCTCTCATTTTTTGCCTGCCATTATCCACATAAGATGTGACTTGCTCCTCCTTGCCTTCCACCATGATTGTGAGGCTTCCCCAGCCACGTAGAACTCTAAGTCCAATTAAACCTCTTTCTTCTGTAAATTGCTCAGTCTCAGGTATGTCTTTATGAGCAGTGTGAAAATGGACTAATACAGAAAGAAAGATAGATAGGATACCTCATGATCATGAAATTCACCAGCATACAAAGGATATAAACTACTTTTGTAGTAAAAATGTGGGTCCTAAAGATTTTAAGCTTTAGGCAGAATGATGGTGACGGAAACATGTGCAAAACGGCCTTAAAAAATCTAATAACCTTTCCTTCATTGCTTTCATAGGAAATAACAGTGCCCAGTAACCAGAATATCTATACATTATATTTGATATTCAAATTAATATATTCGAAACATTATTGCATTTCAGAATATAGATGAATAGTTATAAATATACAGCATGAAATATGCATTTTATCCAATCTGCTGCTTTATCTAGCAGAAGGTCATTAAGGATTATTTGTAAATTTAGAACTGTGTTACATTTGCTCCACTCAATCATGTTTCATAAAAATCTGTGCTTTGTCTTATGTTCTTCTTATATTCTATTCTCCAGAAGAGAGGTGACCCTTAGAGTAACATCTCTGACTCCTTGAGTTTAAACCTTGGACATTTCTGAAAGCTTTGGGTAAAGGTACTGCTGGTTAGACTAGAGAGGGATCAGCTAAATTGATAATATGCAGTGAGATATAAGGAATTAAGGAAAAGAAAGAAAAAAGAGAGAGTAAAATCAGAGTTGAAGTCCAAAATCTTCTCTGCAACATTTTTGAACCCCAACAAACTTCTAATGAAGACAGACTTCTAATATAGAGACTTAAAAATCCTATCTGCACAAAAGTAATTACTCTTTTCTTTTGCACACTGAGGATGAAACAATTCCCTCTCCATATTGCACATACTTTACAAGGTGCATAAAAAGAAAAGCATCTTCATCTGTCTGACAATGGCATCTATTCTATATACCACAAAGCTAGTCCATAGCTTTATCTTTCCATCCTTTCCTTACCTTATGTTCTTCTCATTCCCTTCAATGTCAAAACCTCAACTTTATGGAGAGAACAGAGGCCATTGGGCATGAGCTCAATTCAACTGCAGAAATGTTTATTCATGCCTACCACATGCAGTGCCACACTGAGTGGTGGCAATTCAAAGACACCTAAGACATAGTCTCACCTTTCAAGATGCTTGCCTTTCCATCTTCGCCCTTCCTTCCATCTACGTATTTCTCTCCTCCACATTCTTCTTTTCTCTTTCTTTCAGTATGAGCTTGCCTGAGACTAATCCTTCCAGACAGAACTCTTGATTGCATCCTTCCTTTACTTTTCGTGTTCCTTGCTTATCATTCCACTTAATTTCACCTCTATTATTAACATCTTTTTAGTGGCTCTATCTTCTTAATATATAAATTATACTAAAATTTTTACCCTTAGTTTTTAAAACATGCAGGCATTGATCCCTGTGTAATTACCATATTACCCCCTCTCTCTCTCTTCACAACTGAGCCTCTAGAATTGTCTTTGTTCATTGTCTACTTCTCCACCTCCCATTCACTTCACAAAGCAATTCAGTTTGGGTTCTACATCCACCTTTCATTGGATGTCACTGTCATATGCTCAGTGCCAATCCTCCAGATGCCCTTCGGTTTACACAAAGGACAATTATAGTCTCCCCTCCTGTATTGGGAAATTTTTGCATTGTTGTAAAGAAATACTTAAGGCTGGGAAATTTATAAAGAAAAGAGGTTTAATTGGATTATAGTTCTGCAGGCTTTACAGAAGCATGGTGCTGACATCTGCTCAGTTTCTGGGAAGGCCTCAGGAAGCTTGCAATCATATCAGAAAGCAAAGGGGAAGCAGGCATGTCAGATGGTGAAAGCAAGAGCAAGAGAGAGAGAGTTGTGGGGAGGTGCTGCATACTTTTAAAATCTTGCAAGACCTTACTTTCATGAAGACAGCACCAGAACATGAGGGATCCATCCCCGTGACCAAAAATACCCACAACCCAGCCCACCTTCAGCATTGTGGATCACAATTCAAGATGAGATTTGGGAAGGGACAAATATCCAAACTATATTATTCTACCCCTGGCCCTTCCCAAATTTCATGTCCTTCTCACATTGTAAAATACAGTCTTGCCTTCCCAACAGTCTCCTAAAGTCTTGATTCATTCCAACATTAACTCAAAAGTCCAAAGTCTCATCTGAGACAAGGCAAGGCCCTTCAGAACAAGTTTTTTACTTCAAGGATACAATGGAGATATAGGAATTGAGTAAAAGGGAGAAATTGCCCAAAGGAAAGGGGCTACAGGCCCTATGCAAGTTCAAAACCCAGCAGAGCAGTCATTAAATCTTAAAGCTCCAAAGTAATCTCCTTTAACTCCATGTTCCACATCCGGGGCACACTGATGCTAGGGGTGGGCACCCAAGGCCTTGGGTAGCTCTGTTTTTATGGTTTTGCAGGGTAAAATTTCCAAGGCTGCTCTCACAGGATGTTGAGCGCCTGAGGCTTTTCCAGGAGCAAAGTGCAAGCTCCTGGTGGATCTACCATTCTCAGATCTGAAGGATAGTGGTCCTTTTCTCACCACTCCACTAGGCAGTACCCCACACACAGTGGGAAATCTGTGTAGGGCCTCCAATCCCACATTTCCCCTCTGTCCCATCCTAGTAGAGATTCTTTTTGAGGACTCCACTCCTTCAGTAGGCTCTTGTCTGGGCACCTAGGCTTTCTCATACCCCTCTGAAATGTAGGAAGAGGCTGCCAAGCCTCTTTTACTCTTGCATTTTGTGTGCCTGCAGGCTTAACACAACATGGAAGCTGCCAAGACTTATGGCTTGCACTCTCCAAAATGGAAGCTTGAGCTATACCTTGGCTCATTTGAGACACAGCTGGAGCTGGAGCAGCCTGGATGCAAAAAGCAGTGTCCTGAGGTTGTGCAGAGCAGCATGATCTGACCCATGAAACCATTTAGTCCTCCTAGGCCACTAGGCCTGTGATAGGAGGGGCTGCCATGAAGATCCCAAAGATATCTTTGAGGCCTTTTCCCATCATTGTCTTGGATATTAGCATTTTACTCCCTTTTAGTTATGTAAATATCTCTAGCAAGTGGTTGCTTCACAGCCTGCTTGAATTCCTCTCCCAGAAAAAGCTTTTTTTTCCTTTGCTATGTGGCAACGGTGTAAATTTTCCAATCTTTTACATTCTGCTTCCTTTTTAAATATAAATTCAAAATTCAAGTCATTTCTTTATTCCCACATCTGAATTAGGCTGTTAGAAGCAGCCAGGCCATACCTTGAATCCTTTGCTGCTTCAAAATTTCTTCCACCAGATACCCTAAATCATTCACTCTGAAGTTCAAACTTCCACAGAGCCTTAGGCCATGGACACAATGTAGCCTAGTTTGTTGCTAAGGTATGATACATGTGACCTTTGCTCCAGTTCTCAATAAGTTCCTTATTTCCATCTGAGACCTCATCAGGCTGGCCTTCACTGTCCATATCACTATTAACATTTCAGTCACAACCATTTAACTGGTCTCTAAGAAGTACCAAACTTTCCCCATCTTGCTGTCTTCTTCTGTGTTGGGGAAACCAGCCCCACACCACCCGGCAGGTTCCCCAAGTCCGGCAGAGACAAAGGAGTTAGAAAGAGACAGAATAAGTGTTTAAAAGGCTGGTCCAGGGGACTGGAGTGTCAGAGGCTTGCTCACGGCCCAGAGCTCTTTGGCTTTGCCTAATTTATTGGTTTACAAGCTCTTTGTTCTTAGGGCAGATGGGAGGGGTAGGAAGGGATGAGGAAAAGGATTAATCAGTGAAGGAGAACTTATGAGTCATTCAACAAGATGTATAGCAGTAGTGGTTTCTGTGAATTTCCTTGAGCAAAGGCATGTGCCTAAACTACTTAATATCTTTAACTTATCAAGACTGAAATGGATAGGAGTAGGTTTCAGATGGAGCCAAGATGTTTGATTATACTCCACTGCTTCAAGGGAGTGTTATCTCCCTGAGCAACCTGTGGAATGCTGCTGAGCAGTTATGATCTCGGGGCAGAAAGACATGAAGGCAATAAGGAGAGCTTTCTCCTCAGAGGCCACCCATGGCTCCCCTCTCACACAGGGGAGACCAACTCATCTGGCACCCCAGAAACTCTCTTTCCCACATTCTGAGCCCTCCAAGCTCTTCCAACCTCTGCCAGTTACCCAGTTCCAAAGTCACTTCCAAATTTTCAGGTATCTTTATAGCAATGTCCCACCCCACAGTACCAATTTTTTGGTATTATGTTGTTTTTGCATTGCTATAAAAAATTCCTGAGATTGGGTAATTTATAAAGAAAAGAGGTCTAGTTGGTGCATAGTTCTGCAGGCTTTACAGAAAGCATGATGCTGACATTGGCTTGGCTTCTTGGGAGGCCTCAGGAAGCTTATAATCACAGTAGAATGTGATGGGGGAGCAGACACATTATATGATGAAAGTAGGAGCAAGAGAGAGAGAGTGGTGGGGGAAGGTACCCACACTTTTAAATGACCAAATCTCACAAGAATTCACCCAATATCATGAGGACAGCACTAAGTCATGAGGAATCCACCCCTATGACCCAAACACCTCCCACTGGGCCCCACCTCCAGTCTTGGGGATTATAATTCAACATGAGATTTGGGTGGGGACAAGTATTCAAACTATATCACTTTTTCACATAGCTAGTAAGTGAGTGACTGGAAATCTGAACCCAGCCAGGCAGCTCGAGAGTCTATACTCTTAACTGCTACATTATACTATATTTCCAATTGGAGATGCCATCTTTGGCATCACATCTCTCATAACACTTATCCAGGCAGTGGGATTTGTCTAGAGCTAGGCTTACTCAGAACCCTTCCAGGCCAGGCGTGGTGTCTCATGCCTGTAATCCCAGCACTTTGGGAGGCCGAGGCGGGTGGATCACGAGGTCAGGAGATCAAGACCATCCTGGGTAACACAGTGAAACCCCGTCTCTACTAAAAAATTGAAAAAATTAGCCAGGCATGGTGGCGGGCACCTGTAGTCCCAGCTACTCAGGAGGCTGAGGCAGGAGAATGGCGTGAACCCGGGAGGCGGAGCTTGCAGTGAGCTTAGATCGCACCACTGCACTCCAGCCTGAGGAACAGAGCAAGACTCTGTCTCAAAAAAAAAAAAAAAAGAACCCTTCCAGAGATTATTTTTTTTAACTGAGATGAGAAAAAAAAAAGTGAAATAGAGAAAGCCTCAGTTACTCTATAATGGAGAAGCTGTAAGATTTTAAGCCAAGAGATATTAATTACCCTGTCTTTCACTGAACTGCTGATTTATAACAGGAGAAAATGAAGCCAACATGCAGGAAGGAAACTTAAGAAACACAGAGTCCAGAAGTCTTCTCTTTTCTGGTGCAGTTGTATAGAAAACCAGCTTCTATCTTTGCTCTTAGTGGACTACCTGGTCCATATATTTGTCTCTTAATCAAAGCTGGTTTGAGTCAGATTTGTTACTTGCAAACAAACAAACAAACAAACAAACACAGTCCTGTTAATATTGATCTTTTCTTCCTTCACCTGCATTCAGCATTTGATATTTTGGACATTACCCTCCTGTGTGAAATTTTCTCAATCTTGTCTCTCAAACCACTCCCATCTTCCTGGATGCTTTCTATTCTCCTTCACTGGTCCTGTAAGTGGCAGCAACGCTTAAGTCTTCATTTAATCCTTTACCTTTACCTTTGCCTGATCCTTGTGTCCCATGTATAAGAAGTCAACTACAGCTTATGTGCTTAAATGATAATCATTCCTGAATTTATGTTTATAATCCTAATTGTTCTATCCTAGGTTCTCAAAGACACCTTAAACCCACACATCCAAACTGACCTCAAAAAGTGTACCTTGACCCCTCCTTCACCCCATTCAAAAATTAATTCAAACTGGAACCTTGACCTAAATGTAAAACCTAAAACTATAAAGTTTTAAAATAAAACATAAGAGAATATCCTCAAGATCTTAAGAGGTGAGATTTTTTGATGACACAGAAATCAATAATTATTTAGAAAACTGAAAAATTGGGCCAGGCGCAGTGGCTCATGCCTGTAATCCCAGCACTTTGGGAGGCTGAAGCAGGCAGATCACGAGGTCAGGAGTTTGAGACCAATCTGGCCAACATGGTGAAACCCTGTCTATACTGAAAATACAAAAATTAGCCGGGCATGGTGGCATGTGCCTTTAATCCCAGCTACTCGGGAGGCTGAGGCAGGAGAACTGCTTAAACCCAGGAGGTGGAGGTTGCAGTGAGCCAAGATCATGCCACTGCACCCCAGCCTGGGTGAGAGAGCAAGACTCCATCTCGAATTAATAAAAATTTCCTCCATACACTGACAGAAAATATTCACAAAACATACATCTGACAAAGACATATACAATATAGAAAGAATTTATATAACTCAATAATGAAAAGATAAAAACCCAATAAATGATTCAAAAACTTAAACAGGCATTTTTCAAAGGAAGATATACAAATACCATTAAGCACATGCAAAAGCACTTAATATCATTAGTCATCAGAGGCAAAATTAAACCTCAGTAAGAAAGCACTACACATCCTCTAGAATGAATAACATAAGAGATGGACCACATTAAATGTAAGCAAAGATGTGGAGTGCCTGGAACTCACATATATTGCTGGTGGAATGTAAAATAATACAACCACTTTGGAAAACTACTTGAAAGTGTCTTAAAAAGTTGAATATGCATCTGTTTAACAGTAATTCTACTTCTAGGTATTTACCAAAGAGAAACAAAAATATATTTTCCATACAAAGACCAATATACAAATATTCATAGCTGCTTTATTTGTAATAGCCCCAAACTGAAAAAAAAAATCAACAGGTGAATGGATCACTAATTTGTGGCATATCCATCTAAATGGAATACTGCTCAGCAATAGAAAGAAAGGAACTACTGACATGACAAAATGGATTGTCATCACAAATATTATGCTCGAAAGAATAGACACTGGACACAAAGCAGTACATACTGAATAATTCCTTTTATATGAAATTTTAGAAAAGGCAAAACTGATCTTAGGTGAGGAATATCAGTAGAGGTTGCCATGGTTGGAGGCATAGGACTGGGAAGGGGCACAGGGAACCTGTCTGAGGAGATGGAAATGCCTTAAATCTTGGTTGTGGTGGTGGTTCACAGGTATACATAAATTTGTCAATACTTATTGAACTGCTCATTTAAAGTGGATGTGCTTTTTGTATCTAAATTACGCCTCAATAAAGTTGATTTAAAGAAAATGCCATAGAGTTTAGAAAGAAATAGCACCCTATGATATGAACTAATTTCATCCTTCCCACATGACTTGTCATTGGCATAAGAGGACCAAAGGCCTGGAAGTTTCAGTGGGAGTGAGATCAAAAAAGAAAGCATAGGAAAGTGTACAGTTTGCTTATGACAGTCTCTACCCTCCTCTGCCCCTCCTGCTTTGTTCTACCTCAACCCTCAGCTTCTTCTACAGGGCTCCAGTGTCCCATTATTGGTTCTTAGATGGCTGTCAATCAATCCTGCCCTGAGCAGAGGCATGGGCAGGAGTCAAAATCCTACAGCTAGGATTGGTGCACTTCAATAGACATATATAAACTGTATATTTAAAAGAGCTGTTAGAACTGTAACAGTGATAATTGAGGTAGGGTAACAGCGATAAATGAGTAGGGGTTCAGATGAAACAAGAATCATAGAATATTGACAATTGCTGAATCTGAATGATGGACAGATGAAGGCTAATTATACAATTTGCTTATTTGGTTTATGCTTAAAATTTTCTATTTAAAAAGGTTTAAAAAATAAGTATGCTAACCAGAATACTGTTTGTATACTTTAGATCCTTTTTATCTTTTTGTTGCTGACTGCAGTCATATTTAATGTAAATAAATAAAATTTTTTCCCATAGCTACACAGCTCACCTATTGTGGCCAATGCCAATTCTGGGTGTAAAAGAAAATCCTTGAGGAAGCAGCAGGGTAAATCAACACATATCTAATTATATTTTTCCCTTATTTAAAATCCTTTGGTGTCTTTAAAGAAGTTCAAACTCTTTGAAATGGCATTCATTACTTCTTATAATTTCCCACCTCACCTCACTTATCTTCAGATTTCTCACTCAATATTTGTTCATGTCCTTTAGGATGGGCTTTTTGAACTGCCTTCACCTCAAAGGATTTGCCATGAATGCTTACACCTTCTTTTTTTTTTAATTCTTCTTCTTCTTCTTTTTTATTGAGACAGAGTCTCACTCTTTTCGCCCAGGCTGGAGTCCAATGGCACAATCTTGGCTCACTGCAACCTCCCCCTACCGGGTTTAAGTGATTCTCCTGCCTCAGCCTCCAGAGCAGTTGGGATTAGGGGCACCTGCCACCATACTCGCTAATTTATTTATTTATTTATTTATTTATTTATTTATTTATTTATTTATTTATTTTTTTAGTAGAGACAGGGTTTCACCATGTGGGCCAGGTTGGTCTCCAACTCCTGACCTCAGGTGATCTGCCTGCCTTGGCCTCCCAAAGTGCTGGGATTACAGGTGTGAGCCACCACACTCAGCCACTTATACCTTCTTGACCTTAACATACACTAGTCTCTGCCTGGAAAGACATCCCCATACCCCCAGGTCTTCTGGCTAATTCTCATTTATTCTGAGATGCTACAGAATGTGTATTGTCTTGCCAAGCTTCGCATCTCACATCCATTGCACTTGTCTGTTACTCATCTGCCTTCTTCACTTGACTGTGAGCATCTTGAAGAATGGGACTGTGCTGTTACCTTTTTATTCTCAGCACCAGCCCAATCACTGCAACTTAATAAATGTTAAGATTTTTATTAATCAATGAATAAATGTAGAAAAAATGCTAAAGCCATAAACATATCAAACAGAAAAATGAAGGCATATCATATCTAACAAGATTAGGAAGCATGAGAAAAACTTTTTTCAATGACTTACTTGAATATATTTTAAAAATCTTATAGACCCTAATAAGATCCTGCTTTAGCGAACACAGCAGTAATTGAAACAGACGACGCTCCTGACGTTCATACAGATTACATTCTTTTCGAGGTACACAGACAATTAACAAATATAGAATATAGTGTCAAGTAGTGATAAGCATTATGAAAAAAATAAAGCAAGATCAGGGTTGGCGGGGGATTATGACTACATAAAAAAGCAATTTAAAACTTCTCTAGGGAGGTGACATTTGAGCAGAGACCTGAATGAAGAAATGCATAGAGCCAGTTGACGATCAGGAGGAAAAGCAAAGCAGAAGGAGCCAAAAGTGAAAAGGCCCAGAATCAGGAATTTGGGGTACAAGGAATTCTGGTGCCAAAACTGAACATTCTATCTCCAGAAATATGTATTTTAGGGGGGGGCAGTCTTAAAGGCTTTTCTTTTTCACATTTTTCTATTAAAAGTCAACCACCATTAGCAGCAGTGACAGTTTAAGTAAGAATTAACAAGCTGCAGAGAATGAAACAAGGGTAAGAAGGCGAAGTGGATTGCTGAGCAGGTCCCCAAAAGGGAAGGCCAAAGCGCACTAAGCCTTGCCCATGTCACTGCTGTCCCTACACTGGTTCTGGGTAGAGACAGTGATGTGTTGAGATGACCTATGTAAAGGTGAGATGGGAAGAAGGTGGTATTACTGCCTGCTTCCTCTCCTCCCAATTGCACACACCCTTTCTCTTCCCACTTCATCCAATTAGAAAGCATCCTTTAAACAACATGAGGGACAGTAAAAACAAGGATTGGTAACCTCTGGGATGGTATTAGTCGCTGGAAAGAAAATTGAAAAATCAATTCTGTTTGACTTGGAGCAAATCATCTTGCTATGGCAAGATAGGAAAAATATGGTCTTTAGGAGTCCAAGTGGCTGTTGAGTTCATAGCAGTGACTTTGCCACTGATACCACTTAGCAGTGGCAGTAAGTAACAGGATGTTCAATAATACAGGCTCAGGAGGCTAGGATCACTGATCCTGTGAAGTAAGAAAATGTACAGCTCTTTCAGACACTTGGAAAAATCAACAGAGCCACAAGAGCCAGATAAAGAAGATGACAGCTCTGCCCAACAGCAGAGACATAGGAACATTAGCCAGGAAAATGCATCACAGAAGAAAAGTGGCTTCCTGTGAATGCAGGTGCAATGATCAAATTAAGCTTCCTACTTTATGTGTTAAGAGAAACATAGCTCAGCATCTAGAGTCCCACCACATACAAAGCATCTGAGAATGCCCAAAGTGTGTTCTAACTTATTTCATTTCATCCTTACAAGCAGTTACTCAGGTTGTCACTCATACTTTGCAGATAAGGAAACTGAGGCTCAAAGTCATATTAACAAGTGGTGCAGCAAAAGCAGACACCTTGGTCCTCTGGTTTCCAGTCTCAGGTGGCCCTCACCCAGGATGTGATTCCAGCAGGTGGAGAACTCTCCACCTTCTCAGTTCCTCTCTCTTCTAAACAGCTCACCCTCAGCCTTGTTTCTTTCATCCTCTTCTGCTTTATAAGTACCCTAGCAGCAGGGGGTTTGATGAGCTTGGGCAGTAGGATTAGACCGTCTGGGTTTAAATCCTAGTGCTACAAATTACTAACCGTGTGACATTAACCAAATTGTTTAACCCTGCTGTCTTTCTGCTTCCTCTTCTGTAAAATGAGAATTATAATAGTACCTCATAGTGCTTAAAGCAGTGCCTGTCCCATAGGAGAGCCCAGTAAAGTTTGCTATTGAAATTATATTCCTTTCCCCATCACACTTCACAAACCCTTGTTGACTGTCCCCTCTGCTTGCCAGTTCCTCCTTTTCCTGCTTACTTTTTCTGCCCCAACCTTTTCCTCCAACACCCCACCCCACCCCACTCACACACACGCACACCTTGCCCTCAGAAACAACTTGCTCTCTTTTTTCTCCCTTTCCATGACTTCTGTGTTCTGCCTGCCAGCTATACCTGCTTGCACAGCCTCCACTATCAGTCTCTAGGATGGGCCCAGCATTCCTGCACCTGCCCCTGCTGCCCTTGAAGCTGTGTGGACTGGTTGAGGCCCTGAAACTTCTTGGGGACAGATAGTTCAAAAACACATTCTGTGAAACTGCTCCAGAATGGAGAGCAGAAGGGCTTTGCTGAAAGATTGCAGAAATCAGAGAACACGGAGATTTATAGCAGGTGCTGCTTTCTTAGAGGCCGAGGACCCGGGAATGCCTCAGGAATAACAATGAGCTCTCTCCTAAGCTCCTATCCTTACACGATTGCTTGGATGCAGGTGAAATCTATGCCAGCTGGTGTTTCAGGCTAATTAAAAGCATGTTCACCTGCCTTATCCATATATACTCTGCCCCTTCCTACTAACCCAGGCCAGAAAAATAGTTTTCCCTTGAATCAGTCCTCTCTTCATCAGAATAGATCTCCATGCCCCATCCCCACCCCCGCCCCCCACCACACACACACACATACTCTTCCCTGACTGTCTTCAGGGCCCAGACATTCTGTATAGAAGAACCATGCCACTGATGACCCAGATTGTGGAAGGTGACGAGTCAGTCATACCCAAATTGACTTTGAAAATGCCTTGATTCAACTAACTATCTAAGAAAATAACCCAATTCTTTTCTAAAAGATAAAACATCTAAAAAGTAAAACTATCTCACATTTCTCTCTCTCTCTCTGTATATATATATACACACATATATATACACACACGTGTATGTGTTTGTGTGTGTGTGCGTGTGTGTGTAGTATGAAGACTTTTAAAGTACAAGTCCTTGAAATTTACTCAGCTCCCTTTGCATCTTACAGCATGGATTATTGCAAAAATCAAGATGCAGACAAAATGGCAAATCTGAGAAGAGATGGACAGGCAAAATGGAGCACAACGGAGTCACTACTGCTACGTCAGTGTGGAGTCGCACCTTGAGCCATAGTGTTACTTAACCATGTTCCTTGATGGCACACAGAATGTTATACTGTAATATAGATGTAAATATTAATATAATATAGAAGCATATAGTATATATATCATACTGTAATATAGAAATAAATATTATACTTCTGGAATTCTGGAAATAGTTCTGTCTGTGATGTCATCGGAAAAAAAAACTTGAGGGCTGAGCTATTTGTCCTCAGTGCCTAGGTTCTGTGGAACCCAGCACAGTGACTTTCATCCCTGTGAAACCTCAACAAAACACTAGCGAAGGGTGGTCATTCCCAGTTATATAAAGATCTTTGATGATGATAGGTACACCGGGGTTTCCAACTCAAATAGTGCACAAGTGAGGAAATAATAATAAATATAAGTAAAGTGGGCCAGGTAGAACTACAACAAGCTGGAGTACTCACAGCCCTTATAAGGGCAGAGTCGCTATCTGTACCAGCTGATTGTTGCTATGTGGAAATGCAAGCCTAAAGCGCCAAATACTCTGTTTTTTCCAAAAGAAGTGGGAAATAGCCTGTAAGTGTCAAAACTAATTCAACTTTTAAAAGATCTCCAGGCAGCTCAAACAAAACCTATCTACAGATCCCCAGTTTGCAACCTCCTACCATAAAAGGTCCATGAGCTTGGTTTAATGCAGGGTGAAGTTACTTATCACCTTGGCATCTCTATTTGTCTATCCAAATAATAGAGATAACTATAATTCCTTTCTCATAGCATTGTTTGAGAAATAAAATGTGTTACTACATGGTAAGCATTTGCACTGTCTCATTTTATGCATTTTTGTTATTAAAAATTATATTTTATGTATTTGCCTAGATCCATCTGAATGCAATATGATTGAATATGTAGTCTATAAGTCATAATTCCCATGTTTGATTGCATAATCTCAATAAAGAACCTCACCAAATCCTTCAAGCTATATTATACATGATACATCCTATCACATTCGCAACTTGTGACTATAGAAACTGAGGTAGAGAGAAGTCAATTTGTTGTCCAGGTTTGCAAAGAGTCTCTGGCAATATAGGAAGTGTCTCCTTGTCTCAGTCACAAGTATCCTGTAAACTGGAATGGCCTCTACCATTGACTTTCATGATCACTAAGTTTTCCTTGTGGTTCTCCACGCTTTGACCATATCAAAAAAAAACAAGGTTTATAAAGACATGGATAAACTTTAGCCTCTAAAAAGGCTTTAGTTGTGGGTAGACTATCTATTTGTATTCGGGTTTCTGTCTTTCAAGCTAATTTGTAGAGCTTCACTAAGGAATCCCACTAAGCATCACTTAAGAACACATTTTCAAACTGAATCTGACAAAAGTAAACATCCTTGAAAAATAGGAGCACAGGTATTCCAATATAATAGCCCCTTGTTTCTCAAAGTGTGGTCCTGGGGCAGCAACAGCAGCATTAGCTGGGTGCTTATTAGACATGCAGAATCTTAGGCCTCACCCCAGACCTACCGAATTAGAATCTTCACTCCCAGGTGATTTATGTGTGCATTAAATTTGAATAACACTACTAGCCAACTAATCTCTATAATCTCCTGCAGCTTGTGTGTGACCAAGGAAAGGAATAGCAAAAAAGGTTCACTTTACATTTTACAGGGAAGGCTTTTACTATTTGTTAACTCACTTGAGGGACATAAACTGTCAAAAGCCAGCCCTCAGCATCTGTTTAATTATACACCTCCAATGAGTCTGAAAATTATGTAAGTTTGTCTTGGACCCAGGCCCTGTTTGCTGGGAGTTGCTTTCAGCTGAGACTGACCAGTGCATTATTGTCAGTCAACATGGCCGCTGAGACCTGCTGCCCATTTGTCCAAGGACAGCCAGTGAGAATATCCCTGTGTTGGTGTGGCCACAGAATCAGAGAAAGGTGCTAAGTCCGATAGACCAGTAAATGTCTTATCATTGGCAGCCTTGCTCATTCCCAATGGATGACAGAAGCAAGTAGGTACGCCATGCTTTTGCAAAAATGAGGAAAGGTAGGAAAGAAAGGAGAGAGGATGAGAAGAAGGGAGGAAGGAAATAAAAACATTATCAGGATATTTCTTTGCAACTCCCATTTCCATCCTTCTTTTGTTCTAGCTATTGAAAAGCCAGTGCTTCTACAAGTCACCCTGGGCTAATGATAGAGCAAGAAAGAGGTATTCTGTCAATGACTCTACTAGAGGTAGGTGAGGGGAGACACAGGATTTGATAATCTGTAGACCCACTTCACAGGTGGGAAAACTCTGCCAAGCTTATTCCTTCACCTTGGTTAGACCCAAGGCAGACAAGCTCTGTTCCTTTAGTGAGGCTATCCACTTCTAGCCTTGTGTTCAGGCAAGGAAAGGGTGGGTGTGGGTTCATAGTTTGGCTTCCACAACCTGATCCATCCTGCCCTGTCCTGTCCAGTTGGCTGTGTATCAGTCAACACTCAGTAGGCAGGATAGCATGCGACCACCTATCGGCATAGCTCAGTGGCTCTCACTGTAAGCAATATGCTAAAATCCACCTTCTAGAAGAGAGAGGTTTATAAAATCAGCTCATCTATGTTTTAAAAATTGTCTTAAATTTTGCTCTAAATTTTCTGATTTTGTAGGTAATACAGATATTCCTGAAAAACAGTATGTGTGTGTACGTGCACTACTTGTTTAAAGAAATCTCTTAGAGAAGAATTGGCAGAAAGGCAGTTTACTGGGAACTTATCCAGCCACGATGGGTCTGGGCTAAAGTACATTGGTTTCATTCTTCAAGTTCTTCAGGTGTCACAGCACTCAACAAACAAATATTTTAAAATACCTTCTATGTGTTTAGCATTGTGCTAATTAACCTAAACCAAGTTGCTCATAATGATAGGAAGAATTAATTAGTCATGTTAATATTATGTTATTATGTGATCAGTATAGGAGTATTTGTGTAACACTAGTTCAGTATGGGACACATGCAAACATATTAAAAACTAAAAACATGTTCTAGCTGTGAGTAATTTTTCTTTTAATAATTGAGCTTTCAGAAACATTTCCACAGAAGTCATTGTCTCTATACCATAAGTTATTTAAATTGAAGAAAAGCTATTTGTCAGCTCAACAGGACCTCAGAATGCATTACTCTTTTGCAGGAAAGCCAAGGCTTCCTCTGTTTGGGACTTAAGAGAGCAGAATGTCAAGGTCTCCAGAGAACCTCATGCATGAACCATTGTTTCATCCATCATTTTTTAAAGCAACTATTTTAGGTGATTTCTTATCTGAGCACGAGGAGGGGCGTCATTCACAGACCCCTAAGAAGCAAGCACCAGGAGCAAGGATCCCCCTTTGGCTCTCCCTGGCCAATTATCCCATATCATAGCCCCTTTGGTTTCTCTTTACATAGATCACAATTTAAAACTGTTTTATTTATGTGTCCATTTATTTACTTAGTAACTGCTACCTTCCCCCTCCTCTCTAGCCCTTAGTGAAAGCTCCAGGAAGTCAAGAATCACACCTCTTTTTCCCTTTTTTATCTCCAATGTTTACCTCAGTGTCCAGTCTACAATAAGAAGTCAATAAATAGTTTTGAATTTTAAAAATGATGTCTGTTTTACCAAAGCAAATCAGTGCCAAGGAAAAGGCAAGGCTGTGCCCAGCCTCACTCAGCATTTGTCTTCCTCCTTCTGCTGTCTAGCTTAGTGTTGTGGGGGACACAGGTATTCATCAGAGAGCATTTCCACCTTGTCATGAAACGCTACCTTGTAATCCAGTAGCTATCACTGCAGTTAAAGCTGAGAAGCCAAAAGATTTCAAATAGGAAAACTCTCCAAAATGATATCATTATCAAATGCATTTGCTAAACATGTCTAGTGAGTGGCATGTTGTTTATGGTTTGGGAAGAGCCTGAAAAGAGTAACTCTTGCTTGCTATTATAAAACATCACAGCATTCCCTTTCAGGTGAAGTCTATGTTATCCAACCTGCAAATGACTGGAGCATCAAGGTCAGATTCCAAGGTAAGTCCTAAAACACTTCTCTGGAAAAAAGGAACCTGAGCCTTGTGCACTTGGTGACTCTAGCAGCCAGCTCAGCCCCTGGCATACAGAGCATGCTGAGCAACATGCCTGTTACTGAACAAATTAGCAAGTGTTTTCCTAATTCCTGAATGTATAAATAATTCTTAAATGCCTATGAATGAAAATAACAGGGGGAAGATATAACTTAATACATGCAGCGAAAAACTTTGAATACACGGGATATATAGGAACAAAAATTGAGTCAAAAAGTTTGAGAATCACATCTAAAACTGAATTAGAGGACTTTTAAAATCCCATAAAATTGATGATATATAAAGACATACCAAAAAATGTGAATCTATGTATTCTCACATACTCCTTTGAAGCCTTGTTGTTTTTTTAAATAAACTACTGAGGGTAATTTCTCAAAGTGGACCAGATTTAGCCTATGTTTTCATTCCTAGATTCTAAATGGAAAGAAATGCTTTAGGAATCTATTTTTTTTCCCCACTCTTCCCTGGCCTTGGCTTTCTGGTTCTCTTTAGGCTGGGTTACTCCTATAGCCAAAGAACAAATTTGTCATGCTCTGTATAATAAAGGGTTAAGTACTTCAGATAGTACCAGTGGATTTATTAATGTATTGAATGTAAAAGGCATAAAAAATCTTTAGAAAAGATGTTTAAGTGAAATCCCATTAGTGTGCTAAAAGGAAAATATACTGGATGAACAAAACAATCACTAAGAAAGAAAAGAATAATAATGAATGGTGGTCCCGACTCCCTCATTTACTGGCGGTAAAATGAACTAACATTCCAGAACAATATCTGATTAACTAAGCCACTGAATTGGAGAGGTAACTAGCAGAACCCACTGGTGTGGTATGGCTACTCCATTGTAGAGCTTTTTATTCTCTCTGTGACTTTGAAGGTAGACAAGAAGTTAAATATTACCACATCCTTCAACACATGAGTCTGTGCTAGAATAGTGCAGTTTGAGATTCATCCAGATAGTCTTGAGTTCCTAGGAAAAATTAGCATTTTTACTAATTCCTCTGTGCCTCCATTTCCTTGGCTGTAAATGGAAGTAGCGCTAGTGACTATGTCATAGGAGTGGTGCAAAAATTAAATGTAAAGCTTTAGAAGAGTGTGTGGGATATGGAAGGCATGATATGTGTTTGATATCATGGTGATAATGATGACAACAGTGATGACGATGATGATGATTCCCTTCCTAATTGGAAAGCACTTTCCTCGAACACTTTAGTGATATAAAAAGACAAATTATTGCTTTTTAATATTAGGCCATGGTGTAGATTGTATTATTGGCCTCAATTCGTCACCTCCTCTTTGTATCCATGTCTTGGATATTTTGGCTAATGGAATGACGTGTTGGAAGTGACATTGCGTCCATTCCACATCTAGGCCTTAAGATGTGTTGCATGCCCCCTTGCAGCTTGACACTGCCATGACAAGAACATGCATCAGGGAGTCTGCTGGTCCAAGGAGATTAAAAGATTACATGAAACAGACCAGTAGACCTGGAGCATAAGTATGTGTTTATTGTTAATGTCATTGGGATTCTGTAATTCTTTTTTACATAGCAATAGCTAACTCAGCCATAATGCAAATAATTGTGAAAATAATAGAAATAAGCAACAAACATAAAATAAACCATGGCTGTAAATGCAAAATTTTGTATAGCTGCAGTCCTGTGTATATGTATGTGTGCATACCAAAACTTATAAAAGTGTTATTTTTAGAAGTACAAAGTGGTCAATTACATATATATATATATATATATATATATATATTCTCTAGCATGTGCATTGTGACTAGTATTTAAAATACATCCTCCTATCATGTTAGGAGAGTTCCCTAAAATTAAGTAAGAAAGATTTTCAAAGAAGATAGTGCATAGATAGCACTCAATGCATATTTGCTGAAAAAGTTATTAAATAAAGACACGAAAAATCAAACAACACTCTGTATTTGCATCCTATTTGACGCATCTCTTCTTGCTCCTGCTCCAGCAATGTAAAAATATGCCTGCTTCCCCTTTGCCTTCTGCCATAATTTTACACTTTGCCTTCTGCCATGTTTGTAAGCATAGAAGCAGAAGCCGCTATTCTTCCTGTACACCCTCCAGAATCATGAGCCAATGAATCCCCTTTTCTTTATAAATTACCCTGTCTCAGGTATTTCTTTATAGCAGTGCAAGAACAGACTAATACAGATGCTAACATAAGGTAATGACTTTCACCACAAGTGAGGTATAAACTCAAGCAAAGCAGCCAGTGTGGTCTGGATGGCTGTGACCTGTGCCCCTGGCCTTCAGGAAGCCAGAGAAAGCCACAGAGCTCCAGAGGCCCTGGCTCTGTGATAGCATCACCTTCAACTACAAGAATTTCACTTTTATACAACCCCAGACTTTTGGAAACTCATTAAGAGTAATAAACGTCAGTTTTCTTTCACAAAATGTATTTGTAGTTTGTGGATATTCCCAAAATCAATACCCTGTGGTAATAATGGTGGACAACAACTCAGTTAATAGAACTTCAGGTTTCTTTATGTCTAACAGTCTTTATGTCTGAAATTAGTGATATCATCCCATTCTCTAGATCCATATCTAATAAATGTACTAAATAAAAACATATTATTCCGCTTCTCTAAACCATTGTGTCGTGCTTTCATCACACAGTTCCCTCATTGAAGTACATGTCTGTGTGTTTACCAAATCTCAGCAGCCCTCATGTTGCTTAGCTTAAATGAATAGTCTCAGGCTGAAATTTGTTGCTTAAAATCATAGGCTGACTCTTTAATTTTTAGTTGCATGAAGAGATTTGCTCTTGTGAAAAGAGCAGCTATTGTCATAATGCTTTCTCTCAATCAGTGTAAAGTGCATCCATTTTAGTAACCATGGTTATTTCCAAAATTGTATCAATTTGAATTAGATGCATTTTTCCTTTGTTAAGGAAAAGGAACTTAGGAGCATTCAGTCCCATGTGCACATTTCATTTTAACCTAACAATGCCTATTTTCAAAATAAGCATTGATGTATTATACTTTTCACCTCATAATCTGCCACTTGCTTTTCTCTCCTAAAATGTAAAAACCAAATCAGTTCAAAACTCTGTTTCAATTAGGCAGGCCTTAATGTAGACTATATTCTTTCAGTAATAATGATATACGTTCATCCATTATAACAAATGTACCACTGTGGTGAAGGATGTTGGTAACATAAGAGTCTATGCATGTGTGGGGGGAGTGGATACATGGAAATTTCTAAAACTTCCTCTCAATTTTGCTGTGAACCTAAAACTACTCTGAAAATTAAAGTCTACTTTAAAATTTTAAAAGGTCCTCTAACTGCACAAAATCCATTTGTTACTTGAAACCTATGAACTGCTTCTTAGGTCATGTTTCGGAACTTTGTGAGGGCCTCAAGGGCAAGGACTATATTTTACTCAGTTGTGTGTTTGTGTGACGTTATAAGTTGAATTGTGTCCCCAAAAATTCATATGTTGAAATCCTAACTCCTAGTAACCTCAGAATGTGACCTTATTTAGAAACAGGGTCATTGCAGATGTAATTAGTTAAAATAAAGTTATTCTGGAGTAGGTTAGGCCTATAAGGATACCTAATCCAATAGAACTGTTGTAATTTCTTAGAACAAAGGGCTATTTGGACACATACACACACACAGGGAAAATTTCATGTGGAAATTAAGTTGTGGGCACCAAGGCCCCCTAAAGGTTTGCTGAAAAAATCACTGACATGAGGCAGATTGATTAATAAGAGAAAAGGCACATGAATTTAACGGTATACATGGGAGCTTTCAGAATCAAGACTCAATTCCCCAACAAGTTACAGAAGCTTATATATTATTTTGAGAATATAGACAGAATGAGAAAAAGCATGGCCAAAAACCCAAAACCAGGTTCTGTTGGTAAACCAGGTTTTAGTGGCAAGACATGTTATGGGAGGGAGAAAGGAAGAGGCTTGTCCAGCGAAGGTGGTCTTGTTATGTAGATGAAGCCTCACAGGTAGTAGCCCTCAGGTAGAATAGTTGGAAAACATTTTTTTCAGGCCTTAAAAGGTGTCATCGTCTCAGTTAATCTTTCCTAGATCCTGGGAAGGCCTAGAAAGGGAAGCCTTGGCTGCATTAACGAGTGTTTCTACAGATGCAAATTTCCCCCACAAAAGACAGCATTGCAGGGCAATTTCAGTCAGCTGGTACTGTGGCAGCCATTTTGAAATATATCAAAGAAATATATTTTGAGGTAAACTATTTTGATTTCCTACAAAGTCAGAGATCAAGGTGATGCAGCAGAAGCCAAGGAATGCCAAACATTGCCAGCAAATCATCAGAAACTATCAGAAAATAGGCAAAGAGCCTATTTCTCCTTCCGCCCTTGGAAGGAGCCAACCTTGCTGACAACTTGATCTTGGACTTCCAGCCTCTAGAACTATAAGGCAATAAATTCATGTTGTTCAAGCCATTCTGTTAGTGGCACTTTGTGACAGCAGCCCTGAAGAACTAACTCAGGTGATGTTAGCAGCAGTGAACCCATATGGGTCTGCAGAAACCTCAATTCTTGCCTCCTTAGAAGAAAGAATTTGACTGAGGGGCATAAGGCAGAGTGAGAGACCAAGGCAAGTTTTAGATCAGAGTGAAAGTTTATTAAAAAGTTTTAGAGGCCAGGCGTGGTGGCTCACGCCTGTTATGCCAGCACTTTGGGAGGCCGAGGAGGGCAGATCACGAGGTCAGGAGATCAAGACCATCCTGGCCAACTTGGTGAAACCCCGTCTCTACTAAAAATACAAAAATTAGCTGGGTGTGGTGGCGTGTACCTGTAATCCCAGCTACTCGGGAGGCTGAGGCAGGAGTATTGCTTGAACCAGGGAGTCGGAGGTTGCAGTGAACTGAGAGATCCTGCCACAGCACTCCAGCCAGGCTACAGAGCAAGACTCCATCTCAAAAAAAAAAAAAAAAAAAAAAAATTTAGAGCAGGAGTGAAAGGAAGTAAAGTATGCTTGGAAGAGGGACAAGTGGGCGACTTGAGACACTCAAGTGCATAGTTTGAACTTTGACTTGGGGTTTTATATGTTGGCATGCTTTTGGGGGGTCTGTTTCTCTTCTACCCTGATTCTTCCCTTGGGATGGGCTGTCCACATGTGCAGTGGCCTACCAGCACTTGGGAGGGGCCAAGTGGATTTACTGATGTTGTACGCTTGCTCACTTGAGGCATTTTTCCCTTACTTGAGGCAGTTTTTCCCTGTTCCTGGAGGAAGGTCATATATCACTTAAACTCTAACATTTTGCCTTAATGTGCATGCTTGAGTCCACTCACTCAGCTCCTGAGATCTTATTGGGAAGCTGCTGATTACCAGTTTCGGGGTTTTCTTTCTGTCTATTGGGAATCTGCCTTTCCCTGGCATGGGCTGTGACCAATTATTATGTTAGAGAGATATTTTTACAACCACCTGACTGTCACCTGATGGTTTCATGACACCTCTCTCCTGCCCCGCTCATGTCTGACTAGCTACCTACTGTAACAGTGACAAGTACAAAGTATAGTCATTTATTTCACAAATTCAACAAATATTTACAAAATGTCCTTATTCAGTGCTATGGGAAGGGAATAGGGTAAAGATCCTGTTCTCATATAGGTGACATTCTAGTAAAGGAGACAGAAAATAATTAATTAATTAATGTAAAATATAATTTATCTTCATTTTCTAGAGAAAATTGGGGCTCAGAAAGACTTTTCCAAAATATAAACATCATGTCTTATTCACAAGCACAAAAAAGAATCCCAGAAGGCCCACTCCCACTGGGGTGCCACTATATGTCTTGCCAAGGCTAAAGGTACCATTTCCAATTTGTGTGTTGCTAAGAAACATGAAATTATCTTTCCTGGATCTTACTTGTCAAAAAATATGAGATCTTGGCAGAATGGAAGCACAGGATTTGAAGTCAGGAAACCAAAACTGTATTTTTGTTTTGCTCCTTGTGCAATCCTGGATACATTAATTTATATACCTGAGTCTCTGTTTTCTGCCTTGCAATATACCTATTCCATGAGATTATTGTGCAGAATAAATGGGACAAAGAAAAAAACAATCAGGACTTATTTACTACTTCTGAAGTGTTTCTTGGTTGAAACTCAAAGGTCCTAGACTTCTCTCACATAAATTTATACTGTTTTTTGTTTTGTTTGGGAGGGGTTGTTTGTTTTGTTTTGTATTTAGATGCCTAATATATGTATCTACTCAGAGATTCTGGGCTTGAAACCACTTTTGGTATCAAGGCAGGAAGTTGTTGTTCTTTATATTCAGTGAAATGTATGCTAAAATACCAACTATCCCTGTGTTCCCACTCCTCTCCCCAACACACACACACACATAAATAGGTAACTGGGGCTAACACCCCTTTTTTCTTGGAGGATGGCCCATGATGGTGATGACAGTTGGCTGGGGTTGTGTGAGCAAGAAGGTACTCCCACCCACATTATGCACTCAACACCATCTGTTTTTACCACCTGCTGCTGTTCACAAACAGCATGCATTGACCCCTGTGGGCCTCTCCCAGCAACCTCACAAGATGCTTTCCACTTGGCTCCTCTTGCTAACAGCAGGTCTTTATGTGGCTCCTAGAGGTGCTCCCATCAGTGTCTGCTGATCCCTGTAACTGCATAGTGGTAGCTGTTCCTGTAGATGACACTCACTAGAATCTTTTCTGAACCTATCCATTTGTAAATTTGGTGTTTCTGTTATTTTTATTGAGTTGCACGAGTTCTTTGTTTAGTCTGGATACAAGCCCTGTATCTGATAGATAATTCGCAAATATTTTTTTCCAGGAAGTGACTTGTCTTTTCAATTTCTTAATGCTACGTTTTGAAACACAAGAAGTTCTAATTTTAAAGTAATCTAATTGAGCAATTTCTTTTTGTTTAATGGCTCTTCCAACTTTTGTGTCTAAGAATCCTTTGCAGAGCACGAAGATTTTCTCCTGTGTTTTCCCCTAGAAATTTTTTGTTTCAACAAAAATTTTACATTTAGGTCAATAACACTAAAGAAAACCAAAATATTTCTTTCTAAAATACCGAAGATTGTTGAGCTGAAGAAGACTAAAACACAGAAGGACATCTGCCTCTCCCTGTGCTTGCCTGATGGGGACAGCAATTCACAAAGACAAAATATCTTTCTACCTGCTCCCTCTCCTTCCTTCCTGAAGACAGAGATGGAAATTCTGTCTTTATTGGTCATAACTCAGCTCTTAGCTCAGAAGCTGGCACCAGCAGGGCTAGGAAAATCTGGGAACAAATTTTACTACCTTCCCACAGGTTTTCTGCCTTTGCAAGGAACCCCTTTGTCTTATCACTATAGAATTTATGGCTCTTTGTTAAAATACCATTTAAGGCAGAGCTCCAAGCCACTACCTTGTGAGAGACTTTTGAGAGGCTCCTCCCACATGATGTACATACAGTATGCATTAAACATAAAAATGTTTCTTTTTCTCTTGTTAATCTGTCTTTAATTAACAGGAATCTGCTCCAGCTATAAATTTATGAAGACTGAAAAAAGAAATTATTTTCCTCCTTTCGATATCTTTTGAGTTAATTTTGTCTATGTTATGAGGTAAAAATCTAAGGATTTTTTGGTTTGGTTTGGTTTGGTTTTTGTTTTGTTGTTTTGGTTGTTGTTTGCATGTGGATATCCAATTGCTCCAGTGCCACTTGTTGAAAAGATTATCCTTTCTCCATTGAAACGGGTACCTTTTAAAAAAATTAATCAACTATAAATATGAGTTTATATCTGGACTTTCAATTCTGTTTCATTAATCTATATTCCTATCTTTATGACTGCATTAGTCTGTTCTCACACTGCTATGAAAAAATACCTGAGACTGGGTAACTTATAAAGGAAAGGGGTTTAATTGACTCACAGTTGTGCATGGCTGGGAAGTCCTCAGGAAACTTACAATTGTGATGGAAGGTGAAGGGTTAAAAAGGCACCTTCTTCACAGGGTGGCCAGAAGGAGAAGTGCAAGCAGGGGAAATGCCAGACACTTATAAAACCATCAGATCTCATGAGACTCACTCACTATCATGACAATAGCATTGGGGAAACTGCCCCCATGTTCCAATTACCTCCACCCTTGGTCTCACCCTTGACATGTGGGGATTATGGGGATTAAAATTCGAGATGACATTTTGGGTGTGGATACAGCCAAACATATCAATGACAATACCAAATTGTCTTGATGGCTATAGCTTTATAATAAGTTGTGAAATCTAGTTAAATAAGTCCTCCAACTTTGTTCTTTTACAAAGGTGTTCTGGCTATTTTATTTGCATTTTCAAATAAATTTTTCAAAAAGCTTTTTAATTTATATAAAAATACCTGTTGTGATTTTTATAGGGATTGCATTCAATATATAGATCAATTTGGGAAGTATGTAGAAATACAATTAATTTTGTATATTAATCTATCCTACAACCTTTGTAAACATGATTATTAGCTCTAGTAGTTTTGGCTTCTTTCGAATGTTATACATACAATATCACATCTTCTAATAGTATCTTAATATCTTATTAAAAGGACTCATTTACTTTCTTCTTTCCAATTGGGAAAATGATTTTAGTCTTTCACTATTAAACATATAAGTACCCTTTATCCAATGGGGAAAGTTCTCCTCTATTGCCAGTTTTTCAAGAGTTTTTATTATGAATAGGCATTAGATTTGGTCAAATGCTTTTCCTAAGTCTGTTGAGATCACCATATGGTTTTGTGCTTTATTCCTATAATACGGTACATTAAACTAACTGATTTTTTCAAATGTTAAACCAACCCTGAATTCCTAGACTAAATCCCACTTGGTCACGGTATATTAGCCTTTCTATATGTTGCTGAATTCTATTTGTTAATAATGTATTAAGAACATTTTTGTCTATATTCATGAGAGATATTGGTCTGTAGTTTTCATTTCTTACAATTTCTTTGGCTTTGATATTGCAGTTGTAATGACCTCATAGAATGTATTAATTAGTATTGCCTCCTCCTCTATTTTCTAAAAATGTTTGTGAGGATTGGCATTATTTTGTATGAAATATTTGATAAAATTAAACAGTGAAGCCTCCAGGCCTGGGGTTTTCTTTGTGGAAGGATTTTTAATTAATAATTCAATTTCTTTACTTGTTATTCAGATTTTCTGTTTCTTCTTGAGTTAATATTTTTCCATTTCCTCTACAAAAGACATTAAGTGCTCATAGCTTAAAGGCTTTTCTCTGATAATACACATGTACATTACTCCTCCTGTAAGTTAGCATGTATGACCATCTGGAGTCAGTTGTGTTACTGATTTTTATTTGTAATTATTTAATTTGATAAAATATTATATACACTTCTTGAATAGGATAATAAAAAGAAAAACATTGCTTATAGGAAAACTAAGTTTGAAATGCCTTGGAAAGACATGATAAAAGCAAACCACTTAAAAAAATTGAAAAACTGTTGTAAAACATGCGGATGGGAAATTGCAACGATCTGGAGTGATCTTGAACTCAGATTGCCTCACAAGTGTTTTTAAGTCCTTATTCCAAAAGAATATCACAAAGAATGCACCATTGTTATGGTTTATGCAAGAAGGACAAACTCTTTTAGTATATCCTTATTCAAAGAAAAGCCCATGCTTTTTGGCAAATACTTGTACATTGATATATTTTAAATTAAAATAAAACAGATGTATGTCCTTAACTTCACTTGATAATTTACCAAAAGACTTAAGAGATATTCAGAATGAGATGGGTTATCACATAAATATCTGCAAGTGTTGTTGTGTTGATATATAGGAAAAATCTGAAAAGAATAACAGTATCAAACAGTCAATAAATTCGTTGGTTTAATCAAATAATGAAGCAACTTAGGTGAAGTTTGTCGATATAAATCAGCTTTGAGAATGAGGGAATGTGTAACTTACATCCCAGGGACTCACTTGGAGGAATAGATTTGAGGTCCTCACGAGCATAGTCAATATAAAAAGAATTCTACCTCTATTCAAAAAAACACCTGGGTTCCTACAGCTGCAGACTTCACAGTACTCCCAAATCTTTGACAAATATGAACCTCATTTGGCTGAGAAGATAACCCCAAGTTTACCTGGGAAAGAAATTCTAAATTCTTGAGGTGATAAAACTATCTGTTGGGAATAAGTGACTTTAAACTGAGGAAATTTATAATTAAGATTAGAGGTATTGAAGTTAATTATACTCGTAATAATTGTGTATAGTTCATTTTTTTATTGAGAAAATTTGATGCATAGTTTCCATCTTGCACATTTTAGTTTTAAAAATGTATCAGTCTGATTTTTAATATAAACATATAAAAATTTTTAAGTTCATAAATACTACTGTAGTATTGTGAGAACTCAAAATTTACTATATTTATACTTTATTCCATTAGACAATGAGAGTTATTTAAATACTTGAAGAATTTTGTCAAAATCATTTTTTTCTTCTTCAAGATGGGGTCTTCCCAGGCTGGAGTGCAGTGGCGCGATCACGACTCACTGCAACCTTGACTTCCCAGGCTCAAGCAATCCTCCTAACCACAGCCTCCTGAGTAGCTGAGACCACAGTCATGCACCACCATGCCTGGCTAATTTTTTTTTTTTTTTTTTTTTGGAGAGATGGAGGCCTTCCTATGTTGCCCAGGCTGATCTTAAACTCCTGGGTTCAAGCAATCCTCCTGCCTTGGCCTCCCAGACTGCTAGGATTACAGGCATGCACCACTGTGCCCAGCCTCAAAATTCTTAAAAGGAATTTATTAATGATATTTTTAAATGCTTAGGATAATTGTAATGTATAAGTTAGGTCTAAGAAGTTATAAAGCTTTTCTTAGAAGTAATTGTTGACATTTCCTACATTTATATGTAAAGTCAGAATATTTTAAGCTAAATGGAAACTTTTAAGAAAAAAACTATTATGGATAGTTATTACTTTAATGAGTCAAAGATTAATTTTAAAATCCAGTATAACTCTAAATAATATTTATTTTGTGTGAAAGTTGTCCTCAAGGACATCAAAAGAATCTAATTAAATATATTTGTCATTTATCATGATTCTTCCACACCCATGGACTTCTTAGATTAACCTACCAATTCTGATTATAGTAAGTAGGTTTCATACACCATCTAATTATCATGAGCCATTGAGTCAGCCAAGAAGCCAAAGTGGGGAGCTGTTTGATTCATATGTCTTCATCTGTATGGGTGTATGAAGGCATGATGTATAGAAATTATAAAGGGTTATAGAGTCAGATGGTCTGGGTTTGAAATTGGCTGTACCACACACTGCATGTTAGACTTCTGGCAAATTACTTAACCTCTCTGTAAATATTCAGTTTCATCACCTGTAAAACCTCTACCTACCTCGTAAGGTAATTGTGAGGTTTATATAATGCAACAGATTTTAAGTATTTAGAACAGCACCTGACACAAAATTGAGTGTTCAATAAATGTTGGCTGTTGCTATTATTTATCGTTATTAATTTTTAAAAATGGCTTATAAGCATCAATTTCACTCAGATGTTCTCAAGAGGATTTAAGTCATTATTTGCCAAATTTTACCATGAAGTCTTCTATTTGGGAGACTCCTACATATATACACCTTTCTGTATTTCAATTGCCATGACTTTCCAGTAGCCTCAAGGATGACTTTGCCTGAAGAAAAATATCAGTTAAAGAAAAGCATTTGGCATTAATCTCTGGCTTCAGGCTGAAACCCTAAGGCTCCATAAATCCTCTTATTTCAACCACTTGGAACACTAACAGTTAACAGACTTGAAGTCTTGCTGTTTTTTGACATTTCTTTCAAAACAAAAAACAACTTTAATGATTTTGCTGAAATTGTAGGTGATTCTATCTCTTTAATTATTTGAGGCTTGAATATGAGGACTAATCTGGAGAATGGGAAGTACAGTCATCCCTAATATCCATGGGGGATTGGTTCCACGACCTCCCTCAGATACCAAAATCTGTAGACGTTCAAGTCCCTGATATAAAATGGCATAGTATTTCAATATAACCTACGTACATTCTCTCATATACTTTAAATCATCTCTAGATTATTTATAATACCTAGTACAATGTAAATGTTATGTAAATAGTTATACTGTATTGTTTAGGAAATAATAACAAGAAAAAAATCCATACATGTTCAGTATGATGCATATTTTTCTCAAATATTTTCAGCCCGTGGTTAGGTAAACACACAAATGCAGAACACATGGATATGAAGGGCTGACTGTATTTATTTATTTATTTATTTATTTATTTATTTATTTATTTATTTTGAGATGGAGTCGCTCTGTCGCCCAAGCTGGAGTGCAGTAGCGCGATCTCAGCTCACTGCAACCTCCACCTCCCGGGTTCAAGTGATTCTCCTGCCTCAGAGGCCTCCCAAGTAGCTGGGACTACAGGTGCCTGCCACCATGCCTGGCTAATATTTTATATTTTTAGTAGAGACAGGGTTTCACCGTATTAGCCAGGATGGAGGGCTGACTGTATTTCTAATTGCTTCTTTCGATCAGCATAGAAGCAATTACTTTTATAGCACTTACATGCCAGGCAGTGTCCTTCGTGCATTAATTTTTTATATATTCTTCAGAGCTGTCGATTTAGAGGTACTAATATTAGGCTACTAAGGCTTCATTCACTTGTTAGAACATTTTCCCCTCAGCAAGTATGTCAAGCAAAGTACTTCAAAGAATATAGAGTCAATAAAATTCCACAAAGCAAATCTGTGTAGTAGGATGATGAGAGAAAGAGTACATGAAGCAGTCAGCCTGGTGATCATTTGTAGCTAGTTAAGAGACCACAGCTGAAAAACAGACCTTTCTTTTATCACCAAATTGCATGATGTCTAAGTGGTCACTGTAACTCAGATCCAATCTGACATAATGACATTAGGCTGAACTCACACATGCTCTATCAGTTCAGAGGAACTGTTTCTCATCTATTCTTCCCTCTGCCCTCTGGGGAAAAGGCATACAGGAAATATTGTGTTGGCAACTAAAAAAAATGCTCTGTTTTTCTAAAGATTGAAGGTATTAATTTAGCCAATGCATGGTTAGCATCTAGCTGGTCATGTGTATTATTGAGAATGTGAGTGACTTCAAAAGCGAAAAAAGGATAAACTGTCACAAGTTCAGTGCCCCCTGGTGGAGCATGATGGGAAGCACCTTTTCCTTCTGTCCCTAAAAAGTGCCTAAGACCATGCAAGGTGTATTTTAAATGTTCATTTCTCCACTGGCTTCATCTTGCCTTTCCTATTTTCTACTTTCCTTTGGCAAAATTTTTTAAACTTTTTTTTTGAGACAGGGTCTCACTCTGTCTCCCAGGCTTGAATGCAGAGGCGTGATCACAGTTGACTGAATCCTCAACCTCCTGGGCTCAAGTGAGCCTCCCACTTCAGCCTCCCAAGTAGATGGGACTACAGGCATGCACCACCACACCTGGCTAATTTTTTTTAATTTTTATTTTTGTAGAGATGAGGTCTCACTCCGTTGCCCAGTCTAGTCTCAAACTCCTGGGCTCAAAAGATTCTCCTGCTTCGGCCTCCCAAAGTGCTGGGATTACAGGCATGAGCCACCATGCCCGGCCTACCTTTTCATGTTTACAGTTATTTTATCTTTTTGAATTTTTGTAAACAAACTTAATTCTTTCTGGACTAGCAAAATATTACTAATAAACAAGGCTAATAGCCTGTGGGGTGCCAGCTCTGCCACCTAGATTGTGTATGGCTAGCATCCATTCTCTTGGTTCTGAATTAGTCAGTGCCTGGGTCATACCAGTAGTTAAATGTTATTCATATTTTCCCTTAATATGAATATACATATGTATGTATGCTTGCACATCAAGCCAACCTGTGCTTTTAAAATTCTTTGTTCCTTAAAATTCTCAAAGACTAAAGAATGCAAAAGAAATCATCCCAAAATTGAAAATATATATCCTAGATATATTCAAACAAATATATCATACATAGTACCCACTTTTAATGGCCTGTAACTAACAGCTGTGATTTTAGGTCCTCAACAAAGGAATGAAGACTATTAAGGGCAGTGTCACTTCCAAAACCTCTACAGTCACACAAAGTCAGAGTTGCTCGAAAGACGAAGACTGCATCTCTGAGAATGACTGTGCCTCATGACAACCTCAGGCCCAGGCACACTCAGAATTTGTAGATGGAATTTTCCCACATCTTTAAAAAGAATTCAAGGCCAGGAGCAGTGTCTCACACCTGTAATCCCAGCACTTTGGGAGGCCGAGGCAGGTGGATCACCTGAGGTCAGGAGTTCAAGCCCAGCCTGGCCAACATGGTGAAACCCCATCTCTGTTAAAAATACAAAAATTACCCAGGCGTGGTGGCATGTGCCTGTAATGCCAACTACTCAGGAGGCTGAGCCAGGAGAATTGCTTGAACCTGGGAGGCAGAGATTGCAGTGAGCTGAGATCTCACCACGGCAATCTAGCCTGGGCAACAGAGCGAGACTCTGTCTCAATAACTAACTAACTAAATAAATAAATAAATAAATTCAGCTTTATTGAAGTACAACTGACAAATAGAAATTGTGTATATTCAAGGTGGACAACATGATGTTTTGATATACATATAACTTATGAAATGATTTCGACAATCAAACTAATTAACATACCATCACCTCACATGGTTACCTTTATTTTTTGTGGTGAGAATACTTAAGATCTACTCTCTAGATCTACTCTCTTAGTATGTTTCAGGTATGCAATACAATATTATTAAATATGGTCACTCTACTGTATATTTATTGATCTTAGTTGATCTATATTTATTGGTCTATAATTTATTGATCTTGCAACTAGAAGTTTATACCATTTGACCCATATCTCCCTATTTCCCCACCCCTCAACCCTGAGTAACCACCATTCTACTCTGTTTCCATGAGTTGGCTTTTTTTAGATTCCAAATATCAGTGAGATTATGCAGTATTTGTCTTTCTGTGCCTGGCTTCTTCCACTTAGTATAACATCCTTCAGGTTTATCCATGTTGTCACAAATAGCAGAATTTCTTTATTTTTTTAGGCTGAACATCATTCCAGGGTTTATGATGTGTATAGTCGTGTGTGTGTGTGTGTGTGTGTGTGTGTGTGTGTGTGTGTGTTGCATTTTCTTTATCCACTCATCATCCATATCTTGGTTACTATAAATAATGCTTCAGTGAACATGAAAGTGCAGATAGATAGAAAGTTCTTTGACATACTGATTTCATTTCCTTTGATAGATACTCAGAAGTGGGATTGCTGAATCATATGTTAGTTCTATTTCTAATTTTTTAAGGAGATTTCATAGTGTTTTCCTTAGTGAATGTAACAATTAATATTCCCAGCAACAATGTATTCTTTTTCTCTACACCCTCACTAGCACTTTTTTGGCTTTTGGATAATAGCCATCCTAGCAGGTATAGGTAGTTCATTGTGGTTTTGATTTGTATTTTCCTGATGGTTAGTGATGTGAAGCACCTTTTCATATACTGTTGGTTATTTGTATGTCTTCACTGGGAAAATGTTCATTTAGGTCCTTTGCCCATTTTTAAAATCCAGTTATTTGTTTTTTTACTATTGAACTCACTAGTATGAACTCCTTATATGTTTTGAATTTAAATCCTCATCAGATATATGGTTTCAAACATTTTCCCATTCTGTGAGTTGCTTTTTCACTTTGTTGATTGTTTCCTTTGATCTTCTTGCTTGATTATACTTAAAGAGTTGTAACACTGTACAGTCAGGGTTGATTTGCAGAAGACAGAAACCACTTTCAGAAGAACATTCTTTAAAACCATATTTGAATGCTTACAATATCACTGGTAGAGTTAGAGGAGTAGGTCTAGGTTGGGTTTAGAATGATTCTCATAAAACCACTTCAGAACTGACCTTCAAGGGGAATTGTTTCCCTTGATACAATCAAGAAGCAGGGCAATTAGGAAGCTGCCACTGGAAATTTGACTTTAGGAACCAACTTAGCTACACTCTAAGCCCTACTTCTCAATGGCTATAAAACTAGTAATTAGTCGTAAGAATTCTACCTAAGAAAACTTAGTGCTTCCTAAGCACTTTATTTTCCAAAAGTATAGAAAAAATATTGAAATGTGGCCTCTAATTTCATGCAAGTGCATTTGATTGGTCTAATCTAATCATAGCTGGAACCTTAAATCAAGAGAGTCAAGGAAATGAAAATTTTAGCATTCTAATATATTTTACCAGGCAGGAATGCATATTAGAAGAGCATTTTTCAACTCCTACATTGCAAATTACTTGAATTTCATAAAATCAATTTATTTAATGAGCCATGAAATCAATTGATTTTTAAGGAAATAGAATAGAATGGATCATTGTATCCTACATAGCAAAGGAGGATTGTTTTGTAAAGCTTTTTATTTCAGGTGTGCGTGTGTCTGTGTGTAACTAGATTATGAAATGAAATGATCATATAGGCCACATGGACTAAGGCCAAAATATTTTGCTATCCACTGCGCTGCACTAGATGGAGGTTAGAATGGATTTTGAACACCAATCCACCAATATTCATCATAAACCCCGTGAAGATGAATTTATATTCAAACTAACTATATCCATTTTCTATGACTGCTGGAATGTTGGAGCAACACAACTTTGCTATCTTACAGTTCTGTAATTAAGAAGTCCAAAATGGGTCTCACTAGGCTGAACTGCAAATGTTGTTAAGGCTGCACTTCTTCAAGTGCCTCTAGGGGGAATCCATTTTTTTCCCTTTCCATGTTTTAAGGCTGCCCTTGTTCATTGGCTCATAGTCCTCTTCTTCCATCTTCAAAGCCAGCAACTTCGGGCCAGGTCTTTCTCGGATTGCCATATCTCTGTTCTTTTCTACCTCTGATCTTCCCCTTTTAAGAATCCTTGTAATTACCTGGGGTCTACGTGGATAATCCTAGATAATCTCCCTATTTTAAAGTCAGCTGATTAGCAACCTTAACTCTATGTCATGTAGCCTAAAATATTCACAGGTCCCAGGAATTAGGACACAAATATCTTTTGGAGTAAGAGACATTATTCCATGTACCAACTAACCAAACCAAATTAAGGCACAGGGAAACATTCAATATGTACTATAAACTAGGGAGGAAAGGGGATACTGATCCTCCAGTCCAGATCACTCTTGTTATTGCTGCTTCCAGAGCAAAGTTAGATAAGAAAAAGGCATTATTTCCTACAAGAAAATGCATAAAAATATATATAATTTCATTTGTCTGCTTTTTTAAAAAATTTAGGTTCAGGGGTACATGTGAAGGTTTGCTACATAGGTAAACTTGTGTCATGGCGGTTTGTTGTACAGATTATTTTAGCACCCAGATATTAAGCCAAGTACCCAATAGTTATCTTTTCTTCCCCTCTTCCTCTTCCCACCCTACACCCTCGAGTAGACCTACTGGGGGAACCCGCCCCCAGTATTTCAACGTAGGTTCTATTTTCCATAAGTGTCAGCCAGCTGAGAAATAAAGAGAGACAGTATAAAGAGAGGAATTTAAAAGCTGGGCCGCCAGGGATGACATCACATATCAGTAGGACCATGATGCCCACCTGAGTCTCAGACCAGCAGGTTTTTATTAAAGGTTTCAAAAGGGGAGGGGGTGTAAGAACAGAGTAGTAGGTACAAAGATCACATGCTTCAATGAGCAAAAAGAAGAACCACTGATAAGGGTTCAAGAAAGACGACAGGGCACAGGGCAGAAGCAGAACCACTGATAAGGGTCTTTGTTCAGTGGTGCATGTATTGTCTTGGTAAACATCTTAAACAACAGAAAACAGGGTTCGAGAACAGAGAACCAGTCTGACCACAAATTTACCAGGGCTGAGTTTTCCCAATCCTAGTAAGCCTGAGGGTTCTGCAAGAGACCAGGGCTTATCTCAGTCCTTATCTCAACTGCACAAGACAGACATTCCCAGAGTGGCCGTTTATAGACCTCCCCCCAGGAACGCATTCTTTTCTCAGGGTATTAATCTTAATATTCCTTGCTAGGAAAAGAATTTAGCGATATGTTTCCTACTTGCATGTCTGTTTATAGGCTCTCTGCAAGAAGAAAAATATGGCTCTTTTTGCCCAACCTTGTAGGCAGTCAGACCTTATGGCTGTCTTCCCTTATTCCATAAAAATCGCTATTATTCTGTTCTTTTTCAAGGTGCACTGATTTCATATTGTTCAAACACACATGTTTTACAATCAATTTGTACAGTTAATACAATTATCAACAGTGGTCCTGAGGTGAAGTATATCCTCAGTTTACGAAGATAACAGGAGTAAGAGATTAAAGACAGGCATAAGAAATTATAGAAGTATTATTTGAGAACTGATAAATGTCCATTTTAAGATGAAATCTTCACAGTTTATGTTCCTCTGCCACAGCTCCAGCTGCTCCCTCCATTTGGGGTCCCTGACTTCCTGTAACATAGACCCCAGTGTCTGTTGTTCTCTTCTTTGCATGCATAAGTTCTCATCATTTAGCTCCCACTTCTAAGTAAGAACATGCAATATTTGGTTTTCTGTTCCTGCATTAGCTTGCTAAGGATAAGAGCATCCAGCTCCATCTATGCTCCTGCAAAAGACATGCCTTGTTCTTTTTTATGGCTGCATAGTATTCCATTGTGTGTATGTACTGCATTTGCTTTATCCACTCTGTCATTGATGGATAAGACAGAATGAGAGAAAAATATTTGCAAACTATGCATCTGACAAAAGTTTAATATCCACTGTCTATAAGGAACTTAAACAAATTTACAAGAGAAAAATAACCTCATTAAAAAGTGGGCAGAGGATATGAACAGATATTTTTCAAAAGAAAACATTCATGCAGCTAACAAGCATATGAAAAAAAGCTCCATATCACTGATCATTAGAGAAATGCAAATCAAAACCACAATAAGATACCATCTCACGCCAGTCAGAATGACTATTATTAAAAAGTCAAAAAATAATAGATACTGGGGAGGTTGTGGAGAAAAGGAAACACATACACTGTTGGTGGGAGTGTAAATTAGTTCAACCATTGTGGAAAGCAGTGTGGCAATTCCTCAAAGAGCTAAAAGCAGAACTACCATTCAGCCCAGCAATCCTATTATTGGGTATATACCCAGAGGAATATAAATTACTCTACCATAAAGACACATGCACATGAATGTTCATTGTAGTCTCCTCATTTTCAGGAGCTTTCTGTTTGTTCCCTACTATGAACAACACTGAAAATAGCTAGTTATCTTTTGTATCTCTTCCTCTTCCTCTCCCCTAACATCAAATTTTAAGTAACATTTTACTTTATTACCAATAAGCCCACCAGAGAGTTTATATTATATTTTATAAATGTGCCCCATTCCTCTCCTGCCATTTTTCAGAGTCATTTTTATCTACAGTGTCAGAACACAGTTGTCATGTACTATACTGTTTCCCTTACATCTGTCATTTAGCCTCAGTTTTACAAGTAAATGTATATTCAGTGCTCATAGATAAATAGTCAATACTTTGTAGTCACTTTTGTTGTTTGAAGATTTCTCAGGAAGGAATGTTAGAAACAATATCCTCTTGAGCATGTTCATAAGAGCACCTTTATGCTTGACAGTCAGTTTGACAGGATATAAAACTTACATTTTTTTTTTACTTTAGTAGGTGTTACTATTTTAGCATAAACCATTGCTGTTTAAAAAAAAAAAAAAAGTTGTTTTAACTATGACTTTTTTCCTCTTATAAGTGACCTGAATGTTTCACCTGAAAACTCAGTTTGTTTTTTTCTTCGAATTCTTTTTTTTTTTTTTTGAGACCAAATCTCGCTGTCACCCAGGCTGAAGTGCAGTGGTGTGATCTTGGCTCACTGCAACCTCCATATCCCCAATCCAGCAATTCTTCTGCCTCAGCCTCCCGAGTAACTGGAACTACAGCTGCGCCACCATGCCCAGCTAATTTTTGTGTTTTTAGTAGAGACAGGGTTTCACCATCTTGGCCAGGCTGGCCTCAAACTCCTGACCTTGTGATCCACCCACCTTGGCCTCCCAAAGTGCTGGGATTAGAGATGTGAGACACCGCACCTGGCCAAAAACTTTAAGTTTTTTTTCTTTTTCTGATTCGCCTACTTGGTTTATTAGAATATGTGTCAGTGTCAGCTGTTCTGAGACAATTTTCTTATAAACATAGAGTTGCTTCAAGACCTTTTTTACTTCAGGAAACTATTCTTGAAACATAGCTCTTAGTATTATTTTGTCACATTGCTTTTCTTTGTGGGGACTCAAATATATTATATATTTTTGTCTACCTTATATACCTGTAACTTTCTTTGAAGTCATTTTATTTTTGTTTTCAAATGTTTAATCTTTTCTATTTTTCTGCTTTCCATTATCTATTGGTCTCATAGTATCCACGCTGTTATCTGCAATTCCTTCTAAGTAGTGTCTAGTTCTAAAATGGGTTTTTTCCCCTTTGTTATATTTTTAGTGTGGCCAGTTCTCCTTTCAAATCTTCCTTTCATCCAATCATTTTGTCACTTAGTTTTTCTAATTTATGATGTTCTTCATAGTTTCTAAAAATATTTATATTTCTTTGAGATGGTTTTTGAAACACTAGTTAATGGTTTTTACCTGATTGCTATAAAAATGTTGCTCTGCTTCCATATTCTCTTTATCTTGTAATGAATCTGTGTGGGATGTGACTCATGTCTTCTGCTGTGGCTTCATCTTTAAGTGAGATGGGTCCCCCTGTCCTTTTAGGTGTTTCTATGTGCTAGGTCAGTGGGGGCTTAGGGTGACTTTCATGCCTTCATGACTCTAGGGCTTTCTTTTGTGTTGCTGTTAAGAATGTCAGCAAATAGGTTCTCATACTCACTGCTCCTCTGTCCCTTTTCCTTATTCTTTTCCTAGATTTTGTCTTTCCTCTGCTCCTAGAACCCATGCACTGCTCAATCTGGATCCTACTCCCAACAGTTGGTCTTCAGCGAAGGTCTATGTCCAGAAAGGACACTTTTGTCTGTTAATTTTGAGAGTTCCTAGGACCCGAAACTCCCCATAACTTCTTAAGCATGTATCCTTCCTTTAGCCCCCTCACACTCGCTGGGACATTAGTACAACAAAGCCCCCTCCCAGTTTTTGATACTGTTCTCAGAAAAGCCAGTTGCACTCCCCTCATTGAAAGGGAGCCTGTTTATTTTTGACTTTGTTGGCTCTCCCTCTGCCTACCCCACTTTCTCCAACACAGTTGTTTAGACAGCATCCTTCTTGTTGCTATTATTGGTTTGCTTTTTGTATTTTTGAATTCATGGGGTATCTCACTCCTCTTATTTTTGTAGAGGTTTCCATATTTTTTGTTATTGGTGGTGGTAGTAGTGGTTTTGTTATCTACCTTTATTGCCCACTTTTGAGTGGAATTCAAGGAGATTTAAAAGCTATGTCATTACCCTTTTGCCTTCTCTCTTATTATTTCAACTTCACAGAGCAATTTTTAAATTAATTTATTTAATATATTTATTAATATATTAGTTTAATACAATCATTTAATAAAAACTTATTTAATAAGAATTAATTTAATTATCACCTATGTATTACTCATATCTTTTACAAGACATCAAACTCCAAAAATAGAAACATCCCAGAACTACAATGAGATAGCATTTCACACTCATTAGGATAGCTACTATTATTTAAAAAAAGAGAAAAGAAAGATAATAGAAAAAAATAGTGTTGGTGAAGATGTGGAGAAATTGGAACTCTTGAGCACTGTTGGTAGAAATGTAACATGATGCAGCTGCTATTGAAAACAATATAGTAGTTCCTCAATAAATTTAAAATAGGATTCCCATATTATCCAGCAACTCCACTTCTGGGAATTGAAAGCCACATCTCAAAGAGGTATTTATACACCCATGACCATAGAAGTTATATTCACCGTGTCTAAAAGGTAGAAGAAAGCAAGTGTCCATCAATGCATGAATGGATAAACAAAATGTGGAATACACAAATAACGAAATACGTTTCCACTTCAAAAAGGAAGGACATTCTGACACATGCTACAACATGAATGAATCTTGAGGACATCGTGCAGACTAAAATAAGCCAGTCACAAAAAGACAAGTACTGTATGATTTCACTTATACAAAGAACCTAGATTAAACAAATTCAAAAAAACAGAATGAGGAATGGTGGATAGGATAGGAGGAGCAGGGAATGGGAAGTTGTTGTTTGATGGGTACAGAGTTTCAGTTTTGCAAGATGAAAAGAGTTCTGGAGATTGGTTGCACAACAATGTGAATGTACTGAAATACTACTGAATTATATTTCACTATACTGAAATGGTTAAGATCGTCAATTTTGTTATGTGTATTTTGCCCAAAATTTTTAAACAGCACCACCACCTAACCACCTGCTCAAGGCCAAGAGAGGTCTAGGAATTGGAATTGCTCTTGACTCCCATTTCACACCCAACCCTTCACCCACCCCTGTGATTCTATACAGCTCCTAAATCTGCCCACTTCTCTCCATCCTCACTGCCTCCATGTTAGTTCTATTTTCTATATTACTTGTCTCCGTTCCACCACTGTTTGTACTAATTCAATGACCATACTTGAGCCAGCCAGAGACTGAAATCTTCTAAAACAGAGGCTGGATCACATTACTTGCTTAGGAAATTCCAAACTCCTTTAAAAAGGTTCACAGCGAAGAACTACATGATCTGGTCACTGCTATGCCCCCGGCCACATTTCTCACCATTCCATTGGCCCTCACTTCTCATTCTGGTCATGTCACCACAGACCTGGGAAGGGGTCTGGGCTCCAGGTGAATCAGAAGCGCATGGTTTTGAAAGACACTTGTAGAGCGCAAGGCAACCCCACCCTTTCTGAATACTTTTTGATTTGTGTGGCCAAGTCCTCAGCCATGATCCACCAGGCCTAGCAAGTACATTAATATCAAGAAATAAGCTATAATGGGCATTTAACAATATAATTCCCTAGAAAAACAGAACATAATTCAGCCTTGGAAATGCTCATCTTTTTTAAATGCGGTAATGAAAAGATAATTTTATCTCCTAGACATTCCAACCACATTTTCCCATAATCCACTCTCATGTTCTGTTGGCCTTGCTCTTTCTTCATATATTATTAATAAAAAATAATAATAAAAATTCTGTCCTTTATAGGTAACTCCACATAACTTTGACTCTGAAGGTTTCTTGTGCAATTTTGTTTTATTTCCTTAGCTTTTGGATATTTACCACTTTCATTATCTTTTCATTAATCTCCAAGTCCTCCCCTGAGTACTGATGCCTCAAGATTTATAGACCTCACTAAGGACAGCATGGAACTAAGTTTCTTGGTCTTTCTCTTCCCCCTCTTGACCTAGCTGAGATGCTATCCTTTGCTTTTTGAAAAGAGACATGAAGAAAAAATATATATCAAAGAAATTAGAGGATCATTCAAACTTGCTAGGCAAACATAAGTTCCTAAACTCAATAGTAAACAATAGATTTACATATATAGTAGTTTCTTTTTTTTCAGACAGCATTCCTGTGGGAGCTGACAGTTTATATTCAAACCTTCCACCCTTCCCTCCCTAACTCTCCATTCTCAGAGATTTCATCCAGTCTTCAAACTTCAATCCTAAATTCCATTCAGTCAATCATAATTATCACTGGGCTTGACATTACTCAAGATTCAGTATTTCCAACCATAGCTAAGACATTCCTGTATGAGGTTCCTGCCATTTCCATAAACATAGAATTTCTACATTTTATTCCTTTCCCATCTAAAGCCCCCACTTTTTGTTTATAATATTACCATTCCCCTAGGTACCCAGGTTTCCTAATATGTGCCTCCATGATGTGTGCTGGGAATAGAGAAATGGAATATGGTCCTCAACTCCCAACATGATCCCAGCCCAGCCAGAAAGGATGACAAACAAATCAGAGGGTGAACACCAAAGTTGAGAAAGAGCCACACTCATCACAGTTAACTTTTCCCTTCCCTTCATCCCTAAGATTCAACTTTCCACCGTCTGCTGTTATATTTTTATCCAACGTTTATAAGATTCATCACTGACATCAGTCTTCTCCCCAACTTGAAAACTTGAAGTTGTGCGTCCCACGTTCTCCTGCATGAAATCAGTCCTGAGGACAATCCATGCTTTTTTTAGGTTTCTCTCACAGATTCGTTCCTCCCCCTCACAGGGACGCTAGGTTATCACCTCCTGTCTTGGGTATTCTAGCATCCTCTTCTCATTGCTTCCACTCGGTCCAATCCATCTAGAATATCTGACTGAACTTCCTACAGTGCTACATTCTCAAAGCCATTCTCTATTTAGGAACCTACTGTGGAATTGATTTTAGTTACAGTGGGGCACCTTACGAGGTTCCCAGTCAAGGTCCACTCACACTCACCAAGCCCCTCTCCCACTAACCTCCAAGACTCTGGTTAGTAGTGAGAGAGCCAAGGCTCATTTCTAAATGCGTGACTTTAATGAGCACCTTGATTCTGTCAGCTCTTCTTAATCTGCCCAATTCTTCCTGGCCTTTAAGAACAAGCTCAGGTTCCTCTTTACTTACTCATTACTGTGACTAAACCTAATTGCTCCTTCCCTGACTTCACCCAGACTACTCCCTATTCCCCACATTACCCAAAGTCCAGGAGACTTGATTAGACACAATGCAGTCTTCTATGTTGTAGAAGCACAAAACATTTTATCTATTTTGATATATAAATTATTTTAGGAAATTTTGAACATCCAATTGAGAAAAAAAGGAAGAAAAAGAAATGGTTCTATCTTTAAAAAAACAACCAAATACTTTTGAGCTTGAGGCATTTGAGACAATATCAGATACTTCCAAGGTTACAAACAGACTCAAGAGCACTCTGCCCTATCAACCGAGCCCCCCGCAAAAAATTGTTATAGTAATAATCGCAGCCTTCCCTTCTCCAGCCTCCTTTGCTCCTCAGGTTGAGCTTCTTTTCTTTCCCTAGCACCTTTAGGATTGTACCCTTTCTGTTAAAACTTACTCTCATGAAAGAACCTCACAAGCTGGGTATAATCAAAACGCCACTTGACTAAGCTTCTTACAATCTGTGTTCTGACGCCAGTTCTAATAGAAAGAGTCAACATCAAGAGAAGTCACTTCACCTCTGTGCCTCATTTTCTTTGTTTGCAAAAGAAGAAAATTTGAACAACGTAATTCTCTGAGGTTCCTCTGAGTTCTAACATTTTTACACAGATGGCATTATATACATGATTAACAAATTAGTGATTAATAAAATGAGTCCTAAGTTGTTACTTCTTCTTAGAGTGATTGTATTTTAACAGACCTAACACTTCAAATGAAATAAATATATATGCTATTTTATCCAGCTCTTATGGAGAAAGAATTTGGGAGGCAAAAAGCGAATGCTGAGCCCAACAGATAGTTTCTTCCTCACGAGGGCAAACTGGCTGCTCATGTTTATCACTCCATGGTGATAACATGACTATCGGGTCAAAAGGTCAAGGTCTAAGAGTTCAGTCATACAAGAATTCAAACAAAACCTTCATTTCAAAGCATCTATTGGACCAACTGTAGCTAAAATTGTTTCTGGGTCCAATAAATAGCACATTAGTTGAGCAAAGATATTTCTGTGATTCTTTTTTTAAAAACTGTTTGGGAGATTCCTGATGTGTCATAAAGCTTGTAGGAGCGCACTACTTAATGCTCCAGTGACCAGGAGGTCAGGAAATTGAAAAAACAAATCCTGAATAGAAATGTCACTGCCACTTTGCTTTTCCTAAACATCAGAAAAGGCCAATTGAAGCAGATGTTTGGCTTCTAAAGAACGACTTTCACAGAAGTCATAACCCAAGGGCTGAGTAATCCCTCCTGGAAAAATAGAAGATTCGGTAACCTACAGGGGAGAATCCAGATCTGACATCCTGGCCCGAAAGTAAAGGGCAAGGATGTTAAGTATTTCACTGGAGTGACAAGTACAGCTACTACCCAGAGAAGTCATCTTGTTGAATCAGATCTTCTTTTATCATCCCTTATGTTACAGGATGAGATCATGAGCATAAAACAGTGGAAATTATGAGAAAACATTTCCAATCAAGAAGCACCCAGTGAAGCATGTAATTAAGTGGAAAACTGTCAGTGACTGCTTATTGTATCTGCACAGGACAGGACATTGGTTTAATGGCTTTATATAAATGAGAAAAGACAACTTGGTAATTGACTTAGTACAACAGCAGACAATGTAGAAAAGACACTTCTGGAGGCAGTGGGGCATTGAGTACAATCTTAGGGGTGCTGAACACTGAAGTAAAATGTACAGAGTTGATCAGAAATTATTCTTTAAATGACAAAATTAATTTTAAAACAACAATGAGTTTCCAGAATTTGTAAAATTGGCTGACCTGATGGCAAACAACTACGAAGCCACTTTTTCTTCATTCTAGCAAAGTATGAAGCAAGTTTTGCCGGACAATCTTGCAGAATATTGCAGTGTATTAAAGGAACACAGGAAACCAAGAAAGGCCTTAAACCCAAGACAAGTGTTTGCACTCGCTCTGTCTTTATAAACTTAATATAAATGGCACTTGGTCATACAAGTTAAATTCCATTATAACTCCCAAGGACAGTGTAAAAATTTTCTAAGATGTTCAGAAACATTATTGCATTTAAATCTACCTACAACAAATGAAGCATTGACTACAGATTAGAAATAAATCGTAATACAGAAGAGCTTATGTAATAAGTGACAAATTTAAAGATCTGCCTCCTCTATGTAATAAGTGATGAATTTAAAGATCCTCCTTCTCCTCTGTACCATCTCAAACTACAGAGAAGTAAAAAATTAAGTGATGTTAAAACCCAGAGCCAACGTCCAAAGGCATCTCTTCCTCAAGTAATGATATCACAATGACATCATGTTGCTACTTCCCATTCCAACCGAAGAAGCAGGGATAAAGTAGAGAAGGAGAATTTTGGAGACTCAATAGTAGTTGATGCGAGTGGGCAAAGATCAGAGCTATGTAGCATGGGGAGGGTGGGGGAGCCTGTCCATTCTCCCTCTACCTGCTCTAAGACTCTACCCCTTTCTCCTTTACCTCATGCCAAAAATTGACTAGTGTTCCTTGCACTGGGAGTAGATTCATATAGAATACACACTGCTCATGAAGGAAACATGGTAGAGCCCATTTCTTCACAATATGAATCAATTTTGTAGCAAACATAGGCAGAGAACTAATCAATCTGGGAACAGAAAAGATTGTGTAAGATGAAAATAATTGTTAAGTTACTCTTCACCCCTTAATTTTGCCCCTCAGCTCCTTCTATATCCTCACAGTGGGATGGAGAAAAGTGATATTTATTCAATAAACATTATTTAGTATTATTATGTGTGAAATACCTTGGCTATTACAAAGATCCAATATAGTCTCCCCTAAAAAGGGATTTATACTTTATAAAAAAAAATCAGCCTTGCCTTCCTGAAAACTTTTGTCTTCTGGCTTAAATAACAACACCCTCTTGTTCAATTGTCACCTTTCTCAGCACACGGCATTTGTCTTTTTCAAACTTCTTTTTTTTTTTTTTTTTTTTTTCAGAGTCTTGCTCTGTCACTCAGGCTGGAGCGCAGTGGCACCATCTCAGCTCACTGCATCCTCCACCTCCCAGTTCAGGTGATTCTCCTGCCTCAGACTCCCGAGTAACTGGGACTACAGGCAGGTATCACCATACCTGGCTAATTTTTGTATTTTTAGTAAAGACGGGGTTTCACCATGTTGGCCAGGCTGGTCTCAAACTCCTGGGCTCAAGTGATCCACCCACCTCAGCCTCCCAAAGTGCTGGGATTACAGGCATGAGCCACTGCCCACCACGCCCAGCAGGCTTTTTTAAACTTCTTAGGTTACAAGTCATCCCTGAGGTTTTAGCTCTCACTTGTTTTGCAGTGTATTCACCAATCTAGAATAGCAGAGCCCAACTGTTTATTAAATTCCAGAAAAACACCATTGTATTTCTTACTTCCAGTGCATTCCAGCCCATCTCCACTTGAATGCCCCACAGGTATCTCCCACTAAAATACCTAAAACTGAAATTATTTTCCTGTTCCTTCTGTTCCTTTCCCCTTCCCTACTCTCTTAGTTTCATTTCTTCCAGGGGCAAATCCTGAGGCAAAGATTCCAGTGCAAATAGTTTATTTGGAAGGTGATCCAGAAGAGGCTACTAGGGAATTGGAGCAGTGAGATGAGGAAGGGAAGGTAGCCAAAGAGGCTTAGTTATCAAACAAGTTACCACCTGGAGCTGAATCACACCGGGAAACTCAGAGTAGACTATAAACCTCAAGTAATGCCACCTGGGGTGCAAAGGTACTGAGGTATTTAACCAACGATCCCGCTAGAAAATGTTTGAGGGCTGTTGCCAGGACATTAATTCCCTAGCACTTCCCTTCTTTCCCCTTGCCATCAGAAAAATCCCTCAGGCGATGCCCACTTCAGCTGTAAGGCTGCACACAGAGGTTATGAGGGGGACACAAACAAGTTCTGTCCAGCTCTGTTTTGCATGTCGGTCAGTGGCACCACAACCCAGCAGTGACCACGGCTAGAACCCTTAAATCCATCCATGATTTCTCCCTCTTCTTCACCCTTCACATTGACTCAGACACCAAATCTTGTTGATTTTATGTCCATTGTACTGTCAACTTCATTCACCCTTCTCAATCCTTGTGCCATTGTCTTAATTCAATAAATCAATGTCTCTCCTAAACTATTGCCATAAATAGATTCCTTTTGGTCTCCAGACCCCTCCTTCAAGCTGCCATCAGAGTCATCCATCTTTTGCACTATTCCAGAGGGATAAGATAATAACAGCCAATGGGTACTGAATGCTCTCTCTTTCTTGTGCCAGCCACTGAACTAAGCATACTACATGCATTAACTCATTTAATCCTCACAACAAATTTATAAGACAGGTAATAGTTTTTACCCTCATTCTACAGATGAGGTCACTGAGCCTTAGAGATGTGAATAAAGTCAGAGCTAGTAAGATTAGAGAAGGAATCCAAACCCAGAGAGTCTGGCCCCAGAACTCTGGTGTTTAGTAACCATAAGATATTGCCATTGTACTCAGTTGTCTGTTTAAAATGCAAATCCAATTATGTCATTTCTCTTGGTAAAAGCCTAACCCCATCAATGTTTTCCTAAAACATTAATGATCAAAGTCATAACTCTTAAGTGTCAGGACACCATGTGATATAGTGGCCTCAGGTTCCCTGGCTAGCTTATCTTTCTCTACCTGTACTCATATATTAGTTTCTAAACTTCAGCCATCAGGAACAGGAAGCACTGTGTTTCATTAAAACATGGGGTGCTTTGAGGAGAGTCACAGAAGACAAGCCTATGTTCATACCACAGAGGCCTTTGAAAAAATCACCACATCAAAGAAGCAATATATCCCTCCAGGAGACAGCCACCTGCCTCAGCCATCAATATTTCTGAAAAAGTAGTCAGGACTTCAACCTCACACCAGTCAGAAAGGGCCTAAACCAGCTGGGAGGCCAGCTGACCTAAACACCTGTTGACCAAGTTCTCACGTTTGCTAGCAGGTGTTGTCTGACTTCTGCTGCTCTCTGGCTAGCCAAGGTGCTGCCTGCCCAATCCTCTCCCCACCCCCCCGCCTTCTTTCCATGGCCATTTGAAGTGATTCTTCCTCTGCTAGAACTTTGTCTGCTGGCCACATCACTCTTCCTCTGCTCTGAGCTTGAAAAGAACTCTCTGCCTTGTGTTCTTATGAATTCATTTCATTTTCCCCTGAAAGTAGAGCTCCAGTACATAAGAGGATAGAAGGCATCTTATAGTTCATGGATGCCCTTCAGTACTTAGAATGTGAAAGATTTGCAATATATAGTCAAATGAATTAGTTAGATGTTATATCAAGATTCTGTCCAAGCCTATATTTTAAGTCCTAATGTTCTCACATTTTGAATGTATGTTACCATGTAATAAATTACACAAATCATTGTTGAAAGAATATTAAATCCTGAAGGTCGACTCAGGTCTAATTAATAATAAGCAATAGGCTATATTTCATATATGAAAATGGCCCACTATCAGTAAAGCAAATATTGTGAAAGTTAAATATTCACAGGGCTGGTCTTTATCAGACCAAATAGTGTTATGGGTGGTTAATATTGCACAAGACAATTCTGTCATCCTGTTAACAGGGTATTAATCACCTGCCACACCCCCACCAGTTCCCTCACCCCACCCCTCTTTATTATTTTGCTGGTTATCGCTTTGGATATAGATACAGTGAGACCTATTAATATTTCCCTGACAGAAGCAAAAATTGCCAGTAGGCAAATTTAAAAATTATGTTTCACAGAGGAATTCATTTCCCAATGCATATGCAAATTGTTGTCAATTTGTTATCTATTCACACCGTTAACACCTTCATATGAAGTGATTAAAACTTTCTCCCTGCAGGAGAGAGATGAATTTGGAATTGTATTTTCAACATAGAGTCAACATTTTATTTTCAATGTGCCAGGAGAATTATGTTATGATAGAAACCATATATTTCTGCTGTGAAACATTATGGAGCACAGAGGTGGGAGAAGTGGAAACTGACCTTCATTAAACCTATGGCTGGAGATGGACGGCGGCCTTCCTATCCAGTAGAGAGCTTCATTGATGAGTGAAACGAAGATGTTCTTACTGGTCAACTTGCAGTAGAACACTGCAGAATAATTAAATCAGCTCCAAGTTTCCTTGCCTAAAAATCAATTTTAGAGAAAATTTTGCTTCAGTGAAGATAGCTCTACCTCCCCTGGGATGTTGCTGCTAACACAAAATCAAATATCAAAAGACAAACATAACACCTGATTCTCTTTTTAATTAAACATATGTAAGAATACCACTCTATACCTTGGTATGTTACTTATTAATACTCACATTACATAATTTTGATTATCATAAAAATTCTGCAATATAGTGGAGCAGATTTTGTTACATTTTACATATTAGGAAATGGAAGTACAAGAAAATTAGTGTGGCTTGTCCTAAGTGCATAGCCATATTATAATCTTTAACTTGGATCAGCTGGCTGAAAGTTAGGGCATACAAGAAAGGTCTTATATTCTCTAAGTCTAATAATACAATAATAATAATAATCTTAGCCTCAAACTCCATATAATATTCCTGAAGATGAAAAATTGAAGAGGAAGAGGGTATAAATATGTTAAATAACTGTTTTATAAACTGGTGCCAAATATAGACTGAAAAAATATTTTGAAAAACCTGAAGATAGACACTAGTAGAATGATGTCTACCTTCCAAATAAGTAGATAGATTAATCATAGTTTATATAGAAATTCTTTTAGAAAAACTATTTAGAAATATTAAATATTATAAAATAAATTTAGAAATAAATTTGATTAGTGATCCAGAAACTATATAGGAACCAAAAAAAATCACTGGTATACAATAGTTGTTGGAAAAGATTGAGAAAAATCTATCTATATGATCAATTATCACTCAATCCTAATGCGGGGACTGTAGGACTATACCTAATAGACCTACAATTACAGGAAATATAATAGGACCAAGGACTCACTGGCTGCTGCATTGTAAAATTCACTGTTGTGCCAGGTGTGGTGGCTCATGCCTGTAATTCCAACACTTTGGGAGGCCGAGGCGGGCAGATGACTTGAGGCCAGGAGTACAAGACCAGCCTGGCCAACATAGTGAAACGCCATCTCTACTAAAAATACAAAAATTAGCTGGGTATGGTGGCACTTGCCTGTAATCCCAGCTACTCAGGTAGCTGAGGCACGAGAATCATTAGAACCTGGCAGGCGGAGGTTGCAGTGAGCCGAGATTGTGCCAATGCACTCTAGCCTGGTTGATAGAGTGAGACACTATCTCAAAACTAAAAACCAAACACCGCATGTTCTCACTCATAGATGGGAATTGAACAATGAGAACACATGGACACAGGAAGGGGAACATCACACTCTGGGGACTGTTGTGGGGTGGGGGGAGGGGAGAGGGATAGCATTAGGAGATATACCTAATGCTAAATGACGAGTTAATGGGTGCAGCACACCAGCATGGCACATGTATACATATGTAACTAACCGGCACATTGTGCACATGTACCCTAAAACTTTAAGTATAATAATAATAATAAAAAATAAATAAATAAATAAAATAAAATATAAAATTCACTGTTGCATTTCCACCAAGGCCAGACCTCCCAAGGCCTACTTCCAGAACACAATATCCTAAAGCAGACCCATTCAGACTTCAATGGTGGTATGGTGGCCATCCCAGCCATATCTAGCCCACTTTCTATTTTCTCTCACACAGGTATGCCTAATAAAATTCTTGCAGTACTAACACACATAAAAATATGTTTTGATAAACATAATCAGAAAGGACAAGGGAGATATTACCACTGACCCCACAGAAATACAAACAACCATCAGAGAATATTATGAACAATTCTATGCACATAAACTAGAAAATCTAGAATAAATAGATACATTCCTGAACGCATACAACCTCCCAAGACTGAGCCAGGAGGAAATTGAATCCCTGAACAGATCAATTATCAGCTCTAAAACTGAGGCAGTAATAAATGGCCTACCAACCAAAAAAGCCCAGGACCAGATGGATTCACAGCTAAATTCTACCATATGTACAAAGAAGAAATGGTACCATTCCTACTGAAACTATTCCAAAAAAATTGAGGAGGAAGGAATTCTCCCTCACCCATTTTATAAGGCCAGCATCATCCTGATACCAAAACCTGGCAGAGATACAAAAAAAAAAAAGAAAAAAAGAAAAGAAAAGAAAACTTCAGGCCAATATCTTTGATGAACATCGATACAAACATCCTGAACAAAATAGTGGCAAATCAAATCCAGCAGCATATCAGAAAGTTTATCCACCATGATCAAGTAGGCTTTATCCGTGGGATGCAAGGTTGGTTCAACATATACAAATTAATAAATGTGATTCATCACATAAACAGAACTAGAGACAAAAACCACATGACTATCTTAATAGATACAGAAAAGGCTTTCAACAAATTACAACATCCACTCATGTTAAAAAAATCTCAATAAACTAGGTATTGAAGGAACATACCTCAAAATAATAAGAGCCACCTATAACAAACCCAAAGCCAACATCATACTGAATGGGCAAAAACTAGAAGCATCCCCCTTGAAAACTGGCACAGGACAAGGATGCCCTTTCTCATCACTCCTATTCAACTTAGTATTGGAAGTTCTGGCCAGGGCAATCAGGCAAGAGAAAAAAATAAAGAGTACTTAAATAAGAACAGAGGAAATCAAATTATCTTTGTTAGTACATGACATGATTCTATATCTAGAAAACCCCACAGTCTGAGCCTAAAAGCTTCTTATAAGCTGACAAACAACTTCATCAAGCCTCAGGACACAAAAGCAATGTGCAAAATTCACCAGCATTCTTATAAAACAACAATAGTTAAGCTAAGAGCCAAATCAAGAACAAACTCCCATTTACAATTGCCAAAAATAGAATTACATACCCAGAAATTCAGCTAACTATGGAGGTGAAAGATCTCTACAAGGAGAACTACAAACCACTGATCAAAGAAATCAGAGATTTTGATCAACAAACAAATGAAAAAACATTCCATGCTCATGGATAGGAAGAATCACTACCATTAAAATCACCATACTGCCCAAAGCAGTATGGCTTTTTATAGATTGAAGGCTATTCCTATTAAACTCACATTTACATTCTTCACAGAACTAGAAAAAAACTATTTTAAAATTCATATAGAATGAAAAGAGCCCAAATAGCCAAGGAAATCCTAAGGAAAAAAAAAAAAAAGGCTGGAGGCATCATGCTACCTAACTTCAAACTATACTACAGGGCTACAGTAACAAAAACAGCATGGTACTGGTAAAAAACAGACACATAGACCAATGGAACCAAATAGAAAACCCAGAAGTAAGACTACACACCTACAACTATCTGATCCTTGACAAACCTGACAAAAACAAGCAATGGGGAAAAGATTTCCTATTCATAAATGGTACTGGATAACTGGCTAGCCATGTGCAGATGATTAAAACTGGACTCTTTCCTTACATCACATACAGAAGTTAACTCAAGATGTATTAAAGACTTAAATGTAAAGCCAAAAACTATAAAAACCCTGGAAGACAACCTAGGCAATACCATTCAGGACATATGTACAGGCAAAAGTTTCATGACTAAGATGCCAAAAGCAATTGCATCAAAAGCAAAAATTGACAAATGGGATCTAATTAAACTAAAGAGCTTCTGCACAGCAAAAGAAACTATCAACAGAGTAAACAGACAACCTACAGAATGGGAGAAAATTTTTGCAAACTATGCATCCAACAAAAGTTTAATATCCAGCATCTATAAGGAACTTCAACAAATTTACAAGAAAAAACAACTCCATCAAAAAGTGGGCAAAAGACATGAATAGACACTTTTCAAAAGGAGACATACAGGAGGCCAACAACCATATGAAAAAAAGCTCAATATCACTAACCATTAGAGAAATGTAAATCAAAACCACAAGAGATACCATCTCACACCAGTCAGAATGGCTATTATTAAAAAGTCAAAAAATAACAGATGCTGGAGAGGTTGTGGAGAAAAAGAAATGCATATACACTGTTGGTAATGCAAATTAGTTCAACCACTGTGGAAGACAGTTCAGTGATTCCTCAAAGACCAAATGGCAGAAATACCATTTGACCCAGCAATCCCATTACTGGGTATATATCCAAAGGAATATAAATTGTTCTGTTTTAAAGACATATATACATGTATGTTCATTACAACACTATTCACAATAGCAAAGACATGGAATCAATCTAAATGCTCATCAATGACAGACTGGATAAAGAAAATAAGGTACATATATACTATGGAATACTATGTAGCCATAAAAAAGATTGAGATCATATCCTTTGCAGCGACATGTATGGAGCTGGAAGCCATTACCCTTAGGAAACTAACACAGGAACAGAAACCAAATACCACACATTCTCACTTATAAATGAGAGCTAAATGATGAGCACACATGGACACATAGAGGGGAAAAACACACACTGGGGCTTATCAGAAGGTGGATGGTAGGAGGATGGAGAGGTTCAGAAAAATTAACTAATGGCTACTAGGCTTAATACTTGAGTGAGGAAATAATCTGTACAACAACAAACCCACAAGTTTACCTATACAACAAACCTGCACATGTGCCCCTGAGCTTAGAGTTGAAAACATATGTTTTGAAAAGATAATTTAATTACATGGCCTAATTTTATGTGCTGGGTATGGTAGCTCCCAGATGTAATCCTAGAGCTTTAGGAGGTTAGGTGGAAGGATCACTTGAGCTAAGGAGTTCAAGATTACTCCAGCCTGGGTGAGAGAGCGAGACCTTGTCTAAAAGAAAAAAAAAAAGCAAGAAAGAAAATAAAAGATGAGAAAAGAAAATTAAAAAAAAAAGACAGATGGAAACAGTATGCCCCAAATGACCTAGATATTGTGGGAAAATCAAAGAAAAAGACACATTCACATGAAGATACATGGATAATAGAATGAATAAAAATGTACCAAAGTCTTAATAGTAGTTATCTTTGGGTAGTGATTTTATAGGTGGTGCTCATTTTCTTTTACATATTTTTCTGAGTATCCTACATTTCCTAAAATGAGATTATGTTATTTTCTACTTTAAAACATGATCTAACCATCACAACTTAACAAAGTATAGATTTTAGAGAAAAGTACACAAAATACAATTTGGCTAAGCATAAAAAATGATTAAATTGAGACACATGATGTTTTCCTAAAATAATTTAGAGTGTTTATTTTGTCGGCTTATTCAAAATTGAAACCTCAAAAAGAAATGTAGGATTCTTGATTCCTCGGTACTTTGATGAACTTGAAGATGTGGTTTGAAATCACTATCTTCTTAAAAATGGATAGATATCGACCATCTGTTGCCTGTTTAGAAACAAATGTACCATTACCAGGAGAATTTTCTAAGAAAATAGGTGGAGTTTCATGCTTTCTTTTAAGATCCCGGAAGCCCTGCTCTTGGTTTGATTTAATTTAGGACAAAATAGGGTCTTCCATTTTGCTTCAATATGAGTTATATGGACCACTTGTTTCCGAAAGCTTTGGAGGGTGGGGAGGAGAGGTAAGGAGAGAGGAAAGGAAGGAGAGAATAAAATAAAGAAGGAAAGAAGAGTGCTTTTTGTTTGGGATGGGACAGTTATGTCAAATACAATTGCACACCCACACCAGCTTTGATAACTTGGTAATGACTGTTTTTGCTGAGAAGAATTCTGAGGTTGCATCTGATGTAGCTGGAAAGTATGGTATTATCAATGAATGATGTCTGTGTAAGTGTGCAAGGGAAGGTACTTGTCATATCTGAAGTCTGGGATAGGACCGGCAATAGGACAGACAATGTATCATCAGTCTAGTAGTTTTGCTGTCAATATATTATGTGACTTCCATGTAGAAACTTCATTCAAGTTTCTGTCAGCCTATTATTGATTAAAAGCATAATGTTTTGCTTTTAAATCAAGTATGTTCATCTATTGTGATTTGAAAAAAATACTACTGCTACTACCCTCAGGTTTTTAAGAAGAAATAGTGTATTTAGTAAGTTATTACTGTTCAGAATGAAATCTAGAAATATTAGTGACATGGTTTGGTTCTATGTCCCCAAATCTCATGTCGAATTGTAATTCCCAGTGTTGGGGGAGGTACCTGGTTAGAGGTGATTAGATCATGGGGGCAGATTTCCCCCTTGCTGTCTCATGATAGTGAGTGAGTTCTCATGAGATCTGGTTGTTTAAGCTGTGTAGCGCTTCCTGCTTTGTTCTCTCTCTCTCCTGCTGCCATGTGATTATGTGCCTGCTTCCCCTTTTCCCTTCCACCATTGCTATAAGTTTCCTGAGGCCCCCCAGGCCATGCCTTCAGTACAACCTGTGGAACTGTGAGTCAATTGAACCTCTTTTCTTTACAAATTACCCAGCCTCAGGTAGTTCTTCATAGCAGTGTGAAAATGGACTAATACAATTAGCATACAAATTTAAGTCATGACAGGGTCCCCAATATTTTACAGTGTGGACCATAGGGTAGCTGATCAGAATCAGAAGGGGGCTTCTTGACACTGCAGTTTTCCTGGGTCCCACCCTCTATATTCTCAATAAAAATCACTGGGGACTAGGATCTAGAAATCTACATTTTTAACCGGTACACCAACTGATTCTTATGCACCCAAATTTGAGACCCACTGACCTAAACTTCTGAGAGAAATTTGCCATTCACTCCACAGTGCTTTCTCAACTGCCCTACCACCTCCACCATTACTCTTGCTAAAAACAAAACAGTGCCCAGATTATTCTCTATTCCAAACCTAATTTTCTAGATCAACCTCTGAGAAACAAGTATACTCCCTCCTAACTCTGAATATTAACAATCCTCCCAGAAGACACCGTTAGCATGCTCCAAAAAATTTTGGAAAACGCTGCTGGCAGCTTTAATTAAAATTATGAGTTCCTCTACTCTTGCATTCTCACTAATATGATCTATAGCCTTTTGGAAGTTGAGGCATCTTTCATAATAAATGTGAAAATGACCTCAGCAGCATTTCCATTATGATGGACATGAATTATGACTTATGATTTTTTTCAAATCTGATTTTAAGCATAGTATCAGTAGGAGTAGCAGCCTAGTGGATAATGACTGACTGCATAAAATGCTTTCCCTATATCAAGCCCTGTATACTTTATGTACAAATATCCTTGGACTTGCATTGTGTATGTCTAAATTATATTTAGGCTCCACTGAAGCTTAAACCATTTCTTTCACATAGTTACCATAGTGCTTTACCCCAAGCAAGCACATATTCTTCATATTTTGCACCCCCACCCCCTTATTCCCAGGCAGCAAAATATGGATTTGAAGGAAGCCTTTCACTTTATGGGGTCTTATTTGAAATATAAAGAATTTTAAATGACCTCATGTCAGCAAATCCAAAAGATCTCTAAAAAGAATATTATCAATTAAGATGATTTATGACATTGACTAATCTTGGCCAAGGTAGAAAAACACATCTAATGAGAAATGCCTCCTAGAGTGCAGTTGCCATAACAGCAGGTGCATCAGGCTTTAATACTGTGCTGACTCTTCCTTCCATTGTAAACCCTGGAAATTTACTACTGGCCATGGCACTGCATGCAGTTGTGGCCCTTTGACAAAAAGAAAAATTGTATTTAAAGTTTTGAACCTATACTAGCTCTAGTAAAAAGACAGATGGCTCCATAAAATATGCAATAAAAGCGGTCTCTAGGGTTTTTTGAAAGTAAAAAATATGAGAATTCATTGTGGTGCCATTTGGCCTCTGAGGTTGTGAGTCTGTCAGCATTTCAAGTCCTAACTTCTGCATTTTAAAATTCTGTATGGACAATAGTAGTGTCCTACATCATTGAAAAAAAGTTCTCTCCAGAAAACTATCTTTTCCATATATATGTGTGTGTGTGTGTATATATATATATACACACACATACAAATGTATATATATATATTCATTTGGGAATCACAGAAAAGTATTGTTTTATATCTTAAATAAGATAATAAGATAAAGGGCTTCTTTTGAGGTTTTTTTTTTTTTTTTTTTTTGCCCTTAAAATTGTGTGTGTAATAAAGGGGCACATATTTAACATATTCATTTCAGTCAGGGAAACACTTCACTAACCATATTTTTCTCTAACAACTCTGGTAAACAAATTATTAGCTGCCTTCAGAAAAAGTATCCATTAGACCTACATGCGGTTTTCAGGCCAGAAGATAGACCTAGAGACAGAATTTGGGTCTGGAACGAGGTCTAAGCCAGTGGTAAAGGCACAGACCTGTGAATCAGGAAGTCTGTGTTCTGCCTCTGCTGTTAACAACCCATGTGATCCTAGGCAAGACCCTGGATCAATCTACCCAAAAGGTTTCCAGCATCCTCAGGCTGCTGTAGAGACACATACAGCCAACTGGCAGTACTACGACATGTTTGGTCTCCATCCTCAACCAATCCCTCACCACAGTTCAGTAATATTTTACACTATCCCAGAGAGGGAAATATGTGAGTGTTTAAATTTTTAAAAATGGGTTAAAAAATCAAATGAAATGTTAGAGCAGATCTTGGTCAGAATTATGGCATTCACTATTCTGATGCATGAAGCCCACTTCCTTCTGCACTCAATTCTGAGGCCTACTGCATTCCTGGCATCATATCTCAATCTGAGACACTCTATGGACATGCTTCAGGTAGCTTTGCAGCACCGATGTAAAATTTGGCTCATGTGACTTTTCCTGGAGAGAGGATCTATTGCTCACTTATCATTCTCATAAAGATTTATGACCAAAATTACATTTATGTTCTGTATAAAGAAAGGAAAGTAATACATTATCCACACCAGCCTGGAGGATGGTCTATTCATCTTTGAATCTACAGTCCCATGCACATGATCTACATGTAATATTATATGCACTCAAAAAGGATTTCATGAACAAATGAGTGGATGAATGAATGAGACAACAAATGCACAAACCCCATTTGAGAATACAGTGCTGGGCACTGAGATTGCCTCAAGTCACACAGCTAATCAAAAGCCTCAATTCCTCAAGTGAGCCCATGATCTCTGCTTGCCCCCAGCAATTTGTGAACAACATTCCTCTGCTTTTCTTGCCACTAGATATAGTGCTTATTATTATTGCCCATGGCCAATTAACCTCATTGGAAAATGGAAATCCATCATAATATTCATTTTTCTAATGAAAACATTAGAAGCAATCTTCTCTGAAATAAAAAAGCATGATGAAGGACTTACTGGAATAGAGTTGAAAAGGAGAGCAATATTCTTGAGCCACCAAATTTGGGTTACAGGAGCTAGTACCAAGCCATAGACATTTGTCCATTGGGCCACAAGCCAAGGCCATGGGCCTCAGGTCTGTTCATATGTTTGAAAGCCCATTAAGCCATCCCTACTTTGGCCCCTGCTCAGAACCCAAAGATACAGGTGTCTTTGGTTTATGTACTGCAGTTGCTCTTCTCACTCTGGACCCATTCCAACCAGCAGCTGTCTTTTTCATCTTGCCCATTACTGATGCTCTGTTACCCTCACCACGTTCTAGGTAGGCCTCACAGATGGAGTTCTCGCAGCTGCCTTTGAGGTATGTCCGCCCCTACACACACTTCAAAGAGTCCTGATGCTTATTATGTACAGGGAAGCCAAACTGCTGCCTTTGGAACCTGCCCCAATAGTCACGTAGGTTCTTTTCTATTTTCCCTAAGTGTCAGCCGGTTTGAGGAATAAAGGGACAGAGTACAAAAGAGAGAAATTTTAAAGCTGGGTGTCCAGGGGAGACTTCACATGTCGGTAGGTTCCATGATGCCCCACAAGCCACAAAACCAGCAAGTTTTTATTAGGGACTTTAAAAAGGGGAGGGAGTGTATGAATAGGGTGTGGGTCACAGAGATCACGTGCTTCACAAGGTAATAGAATATCACAAGGCAAATGGAGGCAAGGCAAGATCACAGGACCACAGGACCGGGGCAAAATTAAAATTGCTAATGAAGTTTCGGGCACCACTGTCACTGATAACATCTTATCAGGAGACAGAGTTTGAGAGCAACCAGTCTGACCAAAATTTATTAGGAGGAATTTCCTCTTCCTAATAAGCCTGGGAGTGCTATGGGAGACTAGGGTTTATTTCATCCCTACAGTTTCGACTGTAGAAGATGGCCACACCCAAGGGGGCCATTTTAGAGAACCACCCTCAGGGGTGCATTCTCTTTCTCAGGGATGTTCCTTGCTGAGAAAAAGAATTCAGTGACATTTCTCCCATTTGCTTTTGAAAGAAGAGAAATATGGCTCTGTTCTGCCCGGCTCACCAGCGGTCAGAATTTAAGGTTATCTCTCTTATTCCCTGAACATTGCTGTTATCTTGTTCTTTTTTCAAGGTGCCCAGCTTTCACAGTGTTCAAACACACATGCTCTACAATTTGTGCAGTTAATGCAATTATCACAGGATCCTGAGGTGACATACATCCTCCTCAGCTGACAGGATTATGAGATTAAAGACAGACATAGGAAATCACAAGGGTATTGATTGGGGAAGTGATAAGTGTCCATGAAATCTTCACAATTTATGTTCAGAGACTGCAGTAAAGACATGCATAAGAAATTATAAAAGTATTAATTTGGGGAACTAATAAATGTCCATGAAATCTTCACAATCCACATTCTTCTGCCATGGCTTCAGCCGGTCCCTCCGTTCAGGGTCCCTGACTTGCCGCAACAGGAAGCCAAACTGCTGCCTTCCATCATCCTATTCCCAACACAGGACCACTGTTGGAGTCCCATTCAGGAGCCAGAGAAGGATCCTTGCTGCTTCTCTGAGGATGTCCTGAGGGCTGCAGGATGACTGCATAGAATCCACAAAGCCATTCTACTTCTCTTTTGCTATTTCTCTTCTGTACAGAGTCTTTTAAAATCACTATTTTCAGGGCATGTGTGGCTAAAAAAATGGGCCTTGAGCAGGAGCATTTCATAACTTCAACTGATCTGAGACAGACGTTGAAGGAGTCAGCTGTTTGATGACCCAGTGGTGTTCAAAATCACAGGTTCTAGCTATGGGACTCACACCAGACTTATAGGTCTGATGAAGAGTCACTTTTGCTATCCCTGTGACATTAGAGGATACTCAATTTACCTAGGCTGATTCACCTGGGTGGAGTACATATCTACTCACTTAAGCTCAGCCTAGTCTACCTTACCCTGGCTGGATCATTTAACAATTACCAATTGATTACCTGTTTTATGCCTATATTATGTTACAGATTAAAGATAGTAAAAGTCTGTACCTCAAGGACTTCATATTCTATCAAGGCAATGATAAATATGGTTTTAAAAGTCTATTATAATAAAACAAGCTAATATTATTCTAAAAATATTGGTCATTATCATTAGACAACAAATAAATGACACAAAAAAATAGAAAGGAAAAGGCAAAATTATCATTATTTGAAAATGATGTGATTATTTAACCATAAACCCAAGAAAGACAACTAAAAAATGATTATACACAATGAGATAATTCAGTAAAATCATGGGTACAAAATACATTTACCAAAATGCTTTCCTATATGCAAATGATATCCTTTATGCTTTCCTATATGCAAATGATAACTGGCAAGGAAATTCAATTAAGAGATAATATATTTACAATAAATTAAGAAGTTTGTGGAAGAAAATTTAGAATAAATAAAAAGATATACCTATTCTTGGAGAGGCAAAATAAATATTATAAAGATCAATTATCCTTAAAATAACATATGCAATTAATGTATTACCATTTTTTTAAAAAGTGTTTATTAGTAATTTACCAAGCTGTGAAACTTATATGAAAAAAATTGATACTGATATAGGAGTAAACTGACACAACAATTAAAAAATTGAGAGTTGAAAAATGATGAAATATATTTTTTAATTTAGTATATAAAAAAGATCAGCATTTCATGTCAGTGGGGAAAAGATGGATCATTTGAAATAATGGTCTGGCATTTGGATGAAAACAAAAAAAACTGATTACCATCTCACTTTTTCTACCAAAATAAATTCAAGATGAATCAAAGATTTAATTTAAAGCATAAAACTATGGGGGAGGAGCCAAGACGGCCGAATAGGAACAGCTCCGGTCTACAGCTCCCAGCCTGAGCGACGCAGAAGACGGCTGATTTCTGCATTTCCATCTGAGGTACCAGGTTCATCTCACTAGGGAGTGCCAGACAGTAGGTGCAGGTCAGTGGGTGCAGTGCACCATGCACAAGCCGAAGCAGGGCGAGGCATTCTCTCACTCGGGAAGCACAAGAGGTCAGGGAGTTCTTTTTCCTAGTCAAAGAAAGGGGTGACAGACAGCAACTGGAAAATCGGGTCACTCCCACCGGAATACTGAGCTTTTCCGATGGGCTTAAAAAACGGCACACCAGGAGATTATATCCCGCACCTGGCTCGGAGGGTCCTACGCCCATGGAGTCTCGCTGATTGCTAGCATAGCAGTCTGAGATCAAACTGCAAGGTGGCAGCGAGGCTGGGGGAGGGGCACCCATCATTGCCCAGGCTTGCTTAGGTAAACAAAGCAGCTGGGAAGCTCCAACTGGGTGGAGCCCACCACAGCTCAAGGAGGCCTGCCTGCCTCTGTAGGCTCCATCTCTGGGGGCAGGGCACAGACAAACAAAAAGACAGCAGTAACCTCTGCAGACTTAAATGTCCCTGTCTGACAGCTTTGAAGAGAGCAGTGGTTCTCCCAGCACACATCTGGAGATCTGAGAATGGGCAGACTGCCTCCTCAAGTGGGTCCCTGACCCCTGACCCCCGAGCAGCCTAACTGGGAGGCAACCCCCAGTAGTGGCAGAATGACAACTCACAAGGCCGGGTACTCCTCTGAGACAAAACTTCCAGAGGAACGATCAGACAGCACCATTCACGGTTCACGAAAAACCACTGTTCTGCAGACACCGCTGCTGATACCCAGGCAAACAGGGTCTGGAGTGGACCTCTAGCAAACTCCAACAGACTGCAGCTGAGGGTCCTGTCTATTAGAAGGAAAACTAACAAACAGAAAGGACATCCACACCAAAAACCCATCTGTACATCACCATCATCAAAGGCCAAAAGTAGATAAAACCACAAAGATGGGGAAAAAACAGAGCAGAAAAACTGGAAACTCTAAAAAGCAGAGCACCTCTCCTCCTCCAAAGGAACGCAGTTCCTCACCAGCAATGGAACAAAGCTGGATGGAGAATGACTTTGACGAGTTGAGAGAAGAAGGCTTCAGATGATCAAACTACAAGCTACAGAAGGAAATTCAAACCAAAGTCAAAGAAGTTAAAAACTTTGAAAAAAATGTAGACGAATGTATAACTAGAATAACCAATATAGAGAAGTGCTTAAAGGAGCTAATGGAGCTGAAAGCCAAGGCTCGAGAACTACGTGAAGAATGCAGAAGCCTCAGGAGCTGATGCAATCAATTGGAAGAAAGGGTATCAGCGATGGAAGATGAAATGAAGCAAGAAGGGAAGTTTAGACAACAAAGAATAAAAAGAAACGAACAAAGCCTCCAAGAAATATGGGACTATGTGAAAAGACCAAATCTATGTCTGATTGGTGTACCTGAAAGTGACAGGGAGAATGGAACCAAGTTGGAAAACACTCTGCAGGATACATCCAGGAGAACTTCCCCAATCTAGCAAGGCAGGCCAACATTCAGATTCAGGAAATACAGAGAACACCACAAAGATACTCCTCGAGAAGAGCAATTCCAAGACACATAATTGTCAGATTCACCAAAGTTGAAATGAAGGAAAAAATGTTAAGGGCAGCCAGAGAGAAAGGTCGGGTTACCCACAAAGGGAAGCCCATCAGACTAACAGCGGATCTCTCAGCAGAAACTCTAAAAGCCAGAAGAGAGTGGGGGCCAATATTCAACATTCTTAAAGAAAAGAATTTTCAACGCAGAATTTCATATCCAGCCAAACTAAGCTTCACAAGTGAAGGAGAAATAAAATACTTTACAGACAAGCAAATGCTGAGAGATTTTGTCACCACCAGGCCTGCCCTAAAAGAGCTCCTGAAGGAAGCACTAAACATGGAAAGGCACAACCGGTACCAGCCACTGCAAAATCATGCCAAAATGTAAAGACCATCAAGACTAGGAAGAAACTGCATCAACTAACAAGCAAAATAACCAGCTAACATCATAATGACAGGTTCAAATTCACACATAACAATATTAACTTTAAATGTAAATGGACTAAATGCTCCAATTAAAAGACACAGACTGGAAAACTCGATGAAGAGTCAAGACCCATCAGTGTGTTGCATTCAGGAAACCCATCTCACATGCAGAGACACACATAGGCTCAAAATAAAAGGATGGAGGAAGATCTACCAAGCAAATGGAAAACAAAAAAAAGCAGGGGTTGCAATTCTAGTCTCTGATAAAACAGACTTTAAACCAACAAAGATCATAAGAGACAAAGAAGGCCATTACATAATGGTAAAGGGATCAATTCAACAAGAAGAGCTAACTATCCTAAATATATATGCACCCAATACAGGAGCACCCAGATTCATAAAGCAAGTCCTGAGTGACCTACAAAGAGACTTAGACTCCCACACATTAATAATGGGAGACTTTAACACCCCACTGTCAACATTAGACAGATCAACGAGACAGAAAGTCAATAAGGATACTCAGGAATTGAACTCAGCTCTGCACCAAGCGGACCTAATAGACATCATCTACAGAACTCTCCACCCCAAATCAACAGAACATACATTTTTTTCAGCACCACACCACACCTATTCCAAAATTAACCACATACTTGGAAGTAAAGCTCTCCTCAGCAAATGTAAAAGAACACAAATTATAACAAACTATCTCTCAGACCACAGTGCAATCAAACTAGAACTCAGGATTAAGAAACTCACTCAAAACTGCTCAACTACATGGAAACTGAACAACCTGCTCCTGAATGACTACTGGGTACATAACGAAATGAAGGCAGAAATAAAGCTGTTCTTTGAAACCAACAAGAACAAAGACACAACATACCAGAATCTCTGGGACACATTCAAAGCAGTGTGTAGAGGGAAATTCATAGCACTAAATGCCCACAAGAGAAAGCAGGAAAGATCCAAAATTGACACCCTAACATCACAATTAAAAGAACTAGATAAGCAAGAGTAAACACATTCAAAAGCTAGCAGAAGGCAAGAAATAACTAAAATCAGAGGAGAACTGAAGGAAATAGAGACACAAAAAACCCTTCAAAAAATTAATGAATCCAGGAGCTGGTTTTTTGAAAGGATCAACAAAATTGATAGACTGCTAGCAAGACTAATAAAGAAAAAAAGAGAGAAGAATCAAATAGATGCAATAAAAAATGATAAAGGAGATATCACCACCAATCCCACAGAAATACAAACTACCATCAGAAAATACTACAAACACCTCCACGCAAATAAACTAGAAAATCTAGAAGAAATGGATAAATTCCTCGACACATACACTCTCCCAAGACTAAACCAGGAAGAAGTTGAATCTCTGAATAGACCAATAACAGGAGCTGAAATTGTGGCAAAAATCAATAGCTTACCAACCAAAAAGAGTCCAGGACCAGATGAATTCACAGCCGTATTCTACCAGAGGTACAAGGAGGAACTGGTACCATTCCTTCTGAAACTATTCCAACCAATAGAAAACGAGGGAATCCTCCCTAACTCATTTTATGAGGCCAGCATCATCCTGATACCAAAGCCTGGCAGAGACACAACCAAAAAAGAGAATTTTAGACCAATATCCTTGATGAACATTGGTGCAAAAATCCTCAATAAAATACTGGCAAACTGAATCCAGCAGCACATCAAAAAGCTTATCCACCATGATCAAGTGGGCTTCATCCCTGGGATGCAAGGCTGGTTCAATATACACAAATCAATAAATGTAATCCAGCATATAAACAGAACCAAAGACAAAAACCACATGATTCTCTCAAAAGATGCAGAAAAGGCCTTCGACAAAATTCAACAACCCTTCATGCTAAAAACTCTCAATAAATTAGGTATTGATGGGACGTATCTCAAAATAATAAGAGCTATCTATGACAAACCCACAGCCAATATCATACTGAATGGGCAAAAACTGGAAACATTCCCTTTGAAAACTGGCACAAGACAGGGATGCCCTCTCTCACCACTCCTATTCAACATAATGTTGGAAATTCTGGCCAGAGCAATTAGGCAGGAGAAGGAAATAAAGGGTATTTGATTAGGAAAAGAGGAAGTCAAATTGTCCCTGTTTGCAGATGACATGATTGTATATCTAGAAAACCCCATTGTCTCAGCCCAAAATCTCCTTAAGCTGATAAGCAACTTCAGCAAAGTCTCAGGATACAAAATCAATATGCAAAAATCACAAGCATTCTTATACGCCAATAACAGACAAACAGAGACCCAAATCATGAGTGAACTCCCATTCACAATTGCTTCAAAGAGAATAAAATACGTAGGAATCCAACTTACAAGGGACGTGAAAGACCTCTTTAAGGAGAACTACAAACCACTGCTCAATGAAATAAAAGAGGATACAAACAAATGGAAGAACATTCCATGCTCATGGTAGGAAGAATCAATATCGTGAAAATGGCCATACTCCCCAAGGTAATTTATAGATTCAATGCCATCCCCATCAAGCTACCAATGACTTTCTTCACAGAATTGGAAAAAACTACTTTAAAGTTCATATGGAACCAAAAAAGAGCCTGCATCACCAAGTCAATCCTAAGCCAAAAGAACAAAGCTGGAGGCATCATGCTACCTGACTTCAAACTATACTACAAGGCTACAGTAACCAAAACAGCATGGTACTGGTACCAAAACAGAGACATAGATCAATGGAACAGAACAGAGCCCTCAGAAATAACGCCACATATATACAACTATCTGATCTTTGACAAACCTGAGAAAAACAAGCAATGGGGAAAGGATTCCCTATTTAATAAATGGTGCTGGGAAAACTGGCTAGCCATATGTAGAAAGCTGAAACTGGATCCCTTCCTTACACCTTATACAAAAATCAATTCAAGATGGATTAAAGACTTAAATTTTAGACCTAAAACCATAAAAACCCTAGAAGAAAACCTAGGCATTACCATTCAGGACATAGGCATGGGCAAGGACTTCATGTCTAAAACACCAAAAGCAATGGCAACAAAAGCCAAAATTGACAAATGGGATCTAATTAAACTAAAGAGCTTCTGCACAGCAAAAGAAACTACCATCAGAGTGAACAGGCAACCCACAAAATGGGAGAAAATTTTCGCAACCTACTCATCTGACAAAGGGCTAATAACCAGAATCTACAATGAACTCAAACAAATTTACAAGAAAAAAACAAACAACCCCATCAAAAAGTGGGTGAAGGACATGAACAGACACTTCTCAGAAGAAGACATTTATGCATCCACAAAACACATGAAAAAATGCTCATCATCACTGGCCATCAGAGAAATGCAAATCAAAACCACAATGAGATATCATATCACACCAGTCAGAATGGCAATCATTAAAAAGTCAGGAAACAACAGGTGCTGGAGAGGATATGGAGAAATAGGAACACTTTTACACTGTTGGTAGGACTGTAAACTAGTTCGACCATTGTGGAAGTCAGTGTGGTGATTCCTCAGGGATCTAGAACTAGAAATACCATTTGACCCAGCCATCCCATTACTGGGTATATACCCAAAGGACTATAAATCATGCTGCTATAAAGACACATGCACACGTATGTCTATTGCAGCACTATTCACAATAGCAAAGACTTGGAACCAACCCAAATGTCCAACAATGATAGACTGGATTAAGAAAATGTGGCACATATACACCATGGAATACTATGCAGCAATAACAAATGATGAGTTCATGTCCTTTGTAGGGACATGGATGAAATCGGAAATCATCATTCTCAGTAAACTATTGCAAGAACAAAAAACCAAACACCACATATTCTCACTCATAGGTGGGAATTGAACAATGAGAACACATGGACACAGGAAGGGGAACATCACACCCTGGGGACTGTTGTGGGGTGGGGGGAGGGGGGAGGGATAGCATTGGGAGATATACCTAATGCTAGATGACGAGTTAGTGGGTGCAGCACACCAGCATGTCACATGTATACATATGTAACCATCCTGCACATTGTGCACATGTACCCTAAAACTTAAAGTATAATAATAATAAAAAATAAATAAATAAATAAAGCATAAAACTACTAGATAATAAAAATAAAAATAGAAAAATTCTTGCAGAGGCATACAGGGACAAGTATTGTGTGTATATGCATGGTAATGGGGAATTGAAGGTGAGGAGAGGAAAATGGGTAAGACATTAAGAAACAACAGTTAGTAGAGTAAAATAAATAGATCTTAAGAAGTAGACTTCCAGTTTCAGCTAAAACACATAAAGAGATTAAAATTCTCCACTCCATTGTTACAAGAAAAAGCTGAACAAACTGAAAACCAATGAGTTTTCTTGGGCCCATGAAAAAACTGAGTTTGCAGGCCACACTACCACCTTCAAATGTGAAGAAACAAGCACATTCAGAGTCACGGCCAAAATTTGCCTATCTATAGCAGAAGCCATATATTGTAGAAACGCTTAAATGGCAATTTCAAAAAATTGAAAAGATCCCCTTTTGTCTCTGCCAGAAAAAGGGCAAAAGCAATCCTTGTGAACTATGCTCAGAGCCTCCTTCTTTATAACAAAGGCGTCTTCTACAAAGGAAAATATTTTATCAGAGCATTGGAGCTCCAGCCTCTCTAGCCCTCATGTTTCACCTAAAAGGGATAGGGAAGAAGCTATACAAAGGAAACATTTGTGAAGATTTTAGGCCCTAAACACAAGCCCACTAAAAGACTGACTTTTTTTGGAAGATTACAAAATTTGTTTCTTCTCCCACTCCTATCACCACACAAATGTGGCTCCAGTATGATAATAGTTGATTACAGCTAAAAGAGATGCAAGACTCAGATTCTTTCTGAGGAGTAGTACTTAGGGAAGCCCAAATTAGGAGAAGGCAAAACAAAGGCACAGAAGGAATTGGAAGGGGCTGGAACCTACAATTACAGCAAACACAGCCCAAATCCAAGCCAAATTAACATAAATCCTCACAGAACAGGTCTATTTACATTGTTTTCTATTACCTGACACAACATGTACAGCTTTCAACAAAAAAAAATTGTAAGGCATACCAAAAGGCAAAATAAAGCTCTAAGGAGATAGAGCAAGCATCAGACCCAGATTCAGATATGATACTCATCTTCTCAAGAAAATAGAAGCAGAGGGCACACTTCTTAACTCATTCCATGAAGCCAACACTACCCCACCATCAAAAGCAGATAAAGATATTACAAGAAACAAAAACTACAAACCAATATCTCTCATGAATACAAATAGGAAAATCCTGGATAAAATATTATCAAATAAGATCTGACAGTGTAGAAAAAGAATTATACACCATGATCAACTGGGGTGTATTCTAAGTAAGCAAGGCTAGTTTAACCCTTGAAAATCAATCAATACAATTGTAACTAAAAATAAAATTCTAAGCCTCTGAACCATCTACACGGACCCCTCCACTCAGCCAAGGGCATTCCAAAGTTAACCTGAAAAACTAGTTCAGCCATGATGGTAAGCGGGCGCTTGGACAGGCATCATTATACACTCTCCATTTGGAATTCAGGTGCAACTGACAAGTATTAACATTAAAATGGAGCGTTTAATGCTTTTTGTTGCAAGAAAACACCAAATTCCAGCCTGACTCTAGTATGGCATCACATGACAGATAGAAAGCCCTGAAAGAAATCAAAGCATTTTGCCTTAAAATGTATTTCTTTGACATATTTTTAAATGGTCCTGCAAAGCTATCTCTTGTGGGAAAAGTATTCATTCTGTAGAGAATCCCCTTCCCTTTCCAGATCTTTTCCCGGATCTAGGAGAATTAACTAAGAGTCTGGTACCTTTTTAACTCTGATAAGAAATATTTACAATCTTTTGTCTCTGAAGCCTGCTACCTGGAGGCTTTATCTGCGTAAAAAGAACCTTGGCCTCCACAACTCCTTATCTTAACCCAGACACTCCCTTTTATGGATACCAGGTTTAAAAAAAAAAAAACTTTTAAGTTCAGGGGTACATGTACAGTTTTGTCGTATAGGTAAACTTGTATCATGGGGGTTTGTTGTGCAGATTATTTCATCGCCCAGGTATTATGCATATTACCCATTAGTTATTTTTCCTGAACCTTTCACTGATTCCACTATCCACCCTCCAATTAGCCCCTGTATGCTGTTCCCCTATATGTATCCATGTGTGCTCATCATTTAGCTGCCATTTATAAGTGAGAACATGTGGTATTTGGTTTCCCGTGTTAGTTTGCTAAGGATAAGGGCCTCCAGCTCCATGCATGTCCATGCAAAGGACATGATCTCATTCTTTTTTAAGGCTGCATAGTATTCCATGGTATATATGTACCACATTTTCTTTATCCAGTCTATCATTGATGGGCATTTAAGTTGATTCCATGTCTTTGCTATTGTGAATAGTGTTGCAGTGAACATATGTGTGCATGTTTCTTTATAATAGAATAATTTATATTCCTTTGCATATATACCCAATAATGGGATTGCTAGGTTCAATGGTTTTTCTGTTTTTAGGTCTTTAAGAAACCACAACACTGTCTTCCACAATGGTTGAACTAATTTATACCCCTCACTGACAGTGTATAAGTGTTCCCTTTTCTTCACAACTTCACCAGGATCTGTTTTTACTTTTTATAATAGCCATTCTGACTCATGTGAGATGGTATCTCATTGTGGTGTTGACTTACATTTCTCTAATGATCAGTAATATTGACCTTTTTTCATATGTTTTTTGGCCACACATGTCCTTTTTGGAAAGTGTCTGTTCATGTATTTTGTCCTCTTTTTAATGGAGTTGTTTGGGTTTTTTCTTGTAAATTTGTCAAGTTCCTTACAGATGCTGGATATTAGACCTTTGTCAGCTGTATAGTTTGCAAAAATTTTCTCCCATTCTGTAGGTTGTCTGTTCACTCTGCTGATAGTTTCCTTTATTGTACAGAAGCTCCTTAGTTTAATTAGAACCCATTTGTCAATTTTTGCCTAGGGTTTTTATAGTTTTGGGTTTTACATTTAAGTCTCTAATCCATCTTGAGTTAACTTTTGTATATTGTGTAAGGAAGGGGTTCAGTTTCAGGTCCCGAATATCTTTGTTAATTTTCTGCCTCAGTGATCTGTTTAATATTATCAGTGGGGTATTAAAGTCTCCCACTATTATTTTTGTCTTTTCTATGTTGGTTTAGTCTGTTTTGTCACAAACTAGGATTGCAACCCCTGCTTTTTTCTGTTTTCCATTTGCTTGGTAGATTTTTCCCCATCCTTTTATGTTGAGCCTGTGTGTGTCACTGCTTGCAAGCTGGGTCTCTTGAAGACAGCATACCAGTGGGTCTTGGTTCTTTACCCAGCTTGCCATTTTAGTGGTGGCATTTGGCCCATTTATGTTTAACGTTAGTATAGATACATGTGGATTTGATCTGTCATCATGATGTTAGTTGCTTATTTTGCAGACTTGTTTATGTGGTTGCTTTATAGTGTAACTGGTCTGTGTATTTCAGTGTGTTTTTGTAGTGGCTGGTAACAGTCTTTCCTTTCCATATTTAGTGCTTCCTCCAGGAGCTCTTGTAAGGCAGGTCTGGTAATAGTGAATTTTCTCAGCATTTGCTTGTCTCATAAGGACCATATTACTCCTTCACTTATGTTTGGCTGGATGTGAAATTCTGGGTTGAAATTTCTTTTCTTGAGGAATGTCAAATATGGGACCCTAATCTCTTCCAGCTTGTAGGGTTTCTGCTGAAAGGTCTGCTGTTAGTCTGATGGGTTTTCCATTATAGGTGACCTGACCTTTCTTTCTAGCTGCCTTTAACATTTTTTTCTTTCATTTTGACCTTGGAAAATCTGATGACTGTGTGTCTTTGTGGGCTTATCTACCTTCAATCTTTAAGGTTGCTGACCTTTGGATGGATTTTTTTTTCTTTTATCCTATTTGATAGCCTTGAGGGTTTGATTGTTGTATAAGGTGGATTCAGCTGACTGCATTTATTTCTGGAAGATTTTATAGGCCCAATCTTCAGCTCCCAACTCCTGGACTGTGTGCTCTAACTCTGGAGACTTGTATTGAGCCCCGACTTTGTTTTCTGCCTCCTCAAGGTTTGGAATACACTGTGCTGGGGACACTGAGGTGAGGCAGTTGTGGCAGAGTGCTAGTGGGTACTGGGGTGACTCCCTCACTGTGGGCATTCACCACAGTGGCAGAGGCAACATAGCTGGTGGTGAGTAGGGGGGGCCTCTGCTGGAGACTGTGTGCATGATCACACTGGAGATGGTGTTGGCTCAAGGTGGGGTGCCGGCAGCCACAGGTCTGGGTGCCTTCTTTGTGCCCCACAAGCAGGAGTGATTGCTTAGTGTGGGGGAGAATCTGCTGTTCTCTGTGCAGTGTTAGTGCAAGGGTGGGGCATTGGCGGGGATGGGGTTTGCTAGCACTGTGCCCACCAAGGGTCTATCTGCAAAGGTGGTTGGTTGTGGGAGAGAGGGCTACTGCACTCCCACACACTGATGGAGCAAGGAGAGCAAAACCTTCCCATGTAGACACAAGCCAGCAAAGTGATGTAGGGAGTTGTCATGGGCCTAGGGGAAGCTGCAGTATGGGGAGGAAGCATGCGGGCTGGTGAATGGCTATAGGGGCTGCCTCACTGGAGCTCCTCACCAGTCAGGCATGGTCTGCCAGTACAGAAGCTATGGTACAGCCCCCCAGGGCACCCGAGACTACCGTATAAGCAGGTGTGGCCAGGCTGGGGCCCCAGGAGATGCCAACAGACGAAGGATTGCTCAGGTCAGACCAGCCCTGTCTGATGGGCAAGGCCACCCTTCAGAGTTCAGATCTGACAGTTCCCCTAGGGCTAGAGTCTCCAATGGAGCAAGTTGAGCCCACAGGGGTGGCTGTACCTAGCCATGCTCCACTACCATTGCTCCCACTTTAAACCATCTGGGCTCCACATCAGTTGGCTTGCTGTCCCTACCACTTCTCTAAGCAGCTCTCCCTGCCAACTTGAGTGTCCACGATTGTCAAGGAGTCTCCTCCTGCCAGGCTTCCAGAGTCCCATGGTAAGAGTGGGTTGCTCTTTGCCAGTTCAACTCATCCATTCCCTTGGAGCTGTTGTGGCCCAAAAATGAGTCCTGGTGCATGGTAGTCCCATGCAGGGTTCCACGCTTTCTCCTCCTTCAGCCCAGCTTCTGTGTCTTCCTTCTATCCACTCTTGGCATCTTTCCTCTGAAGATGTGTTAAAAGCACATGAGTTGTCTCAGTCCCTCTGTGAGAGCTGTTCCACCTGGCTACATCTAGTCAGCCATCTTGCCCCTCTCCTCAATTCTATGTCTTTAAATAAACTCTTTCAACAAATTGCCAATCAGAAAATCTGAATCCACCTATGACCTGGAAGCCCCCCCACCCCCCTATTTCAAGTTTTCCCATCTTTCCAGACTGAACTGGTAGAAATCTTACATGTATTGGTTGATGTCTTACGTCTCCTTAAAATGTATCAAACCCAGCTGTATGCTGACCACCTTGGGCATTTTTCCTTGGGACCCACTAAGGCTGTGTCACAGGCATGTCCTTAATCCTGGCAAAATGAACTTCTAAATTGGCTGAGACCTAGCTCAGATACTTTTTGGTTTACATAATCTAACACATCAACAGGTTACAGATAGAAAATCATATGATCATGCCAGTTAACACAGAAAAAGCATATGACAACATATACCACCCAATCGTGATTTTTTAAAAAATCAGCAAACTACAAATAAAGGGAAAATTTATCAACTTGATAAAGAACATCTACCAAGAAACCCCTAAGTTAACGTAATAGTTAATGGGGAGTGAAATGCTTTTTACTTGCACCTCAAGCCTGGAAACAAGGTGAAGATTCCTTTCTCACCACTTGATGTGGTTTGGCTGTGTCCCCACTCAAATGTCACCTTAAATTGTAGTAATCCCCATGTGTCAAGGGCAGGGCCAGGTGGAGATAATTGAATCATGGGGATGGTTTCCCCCATACTGTTCTCATGGTGGTAAATAAGTCTCACAAGATCTCATGGTTATATAAATGGGAGTCCCTGTGCACAAGTTCTCTTGCCTGCTGCCATGTAAGACGTGACTTTGCTCCTCATTAGTCTTTCACCATGATTGTAAGGCCACCCCAGCCATGTGGAACTCTGAGTCCATTAAACCTCCTTTTCTTTATAAATTACCCAGTCTTAGCTATGTCTTTATTAGCAGTGTGAAAATGGACTAATACACCACTCAAATTCAATGTTGTACTACAAATACTAGCTAGTGCAATAAAACAAGAAAAAGAAAAATATATGCCAATTGGAAAGAAATAAAACTAACTCTATTCACAGATGACATCACTGTCACTTTGGAAGACAGTTTGGCCATTTCTTATAAAACTAAACAGAGTCTTACCATACAATCCAGCAATCAAGCTTCTAGGTATATTCCCAATTGATTTAAGAACTATGTTCATGTAAAAACTGCTTGTGAATGTTTATAGCTACTTTATTTATAATCACCAAAATCTGGAAGCAAACAAAAAGCCCTTCGATAGGTAAATAAACCATGGTTCATGCATACAATAGCATGTTATTCAGTAATAAAAAGAAATGAGCTATCAAGCCATAAAAAGTGGAATGAATCTTAAATGTATATTGCTAAGTGAAAGAAGCCACTCTGACAAAGCTCTCTACTAACTGATTCCAATTCTATGACAGCCTGGAAAAGGTATAGAAATGGTAAACAGATGAGTAGTTTCCAGGGATGCAGAGGGTGAGGTAAATGATTGAATAGGAGAAGCACAGATGATTTTTTTAGGTATGGAAATTATTCTGTATGATACTGTAATTGTGAATACAAGACATTAATTATTTTTCAAATTCCAAAGAAACTTAAAGCAAAAAAGATACACTTCAATGTATGAAATTTTTTTAAAAATCACTTAGGAGGATCCCAGCAGAGAATGTGGGATATAAAAAATAACTAAATGTATTATACATGCATGAAACAATCTCACAGAATTGGGTGGGGAAAATTAGTTTCAGACCTAAGAAATTTTGGAAATTAATGGAGTCTGTAAGAATAAAGGCAATAGGAACTGCTCATGAGCACTGTAGTCTAGTTGATAAAAGCTGTTTCCCATTGAATTTTAGGTTAACAATTCTGAAAGCACCATATGTACACACCAAAACTGAATAATTAAGTCGATGGATGGCAGGTAGTGAGTGTGGGAAGTTACAGATAAGCAAGACAAAGAGTTGGGAGCATTGGCATGAGCTCATGTCTAACTTAATATACATAAGGTTGGTTACACATGGAAGTACTTTTAGATAAGTTTATATACATAGGTTAGAATACATCTCTTTGTTCTAACTGCTGAGAGGGCCTAGTAGCAAAAAACACATCCAGTGCCCAAATCTTGGTTTTAAATACTATCATCCAACAAAAAGGAGCCAGGGGTCCTGGGATAAATGACTGATTCTGGGGTTAGGGCAGGAAATATACAAGACATACCTGGAGCATCTTGTAGTGCCAAAGTAAGAAGGTGTTTAAAAAAAAAAGACACCACAATGATGGGCATATGTCAAAGGGATCCAGGAGCCAACTGAAAGAGCTCCCAATAAAACTCTAAGCAACAGAACAGGAACAAAGCTGGAACAATTCAAGCAAAAATTTAATATTAGGTTATAATCCAAAGTACAAAAAAACCTCATGAGTGCCCACAAATCTGTATGAATATAAGCCGCTGAATAAATAAATAACCTGGGAGAATGGACAAATTTCCCATGCAGAAGAATTTAAAATAACTTATGCCGATACTCAAGAAGGTGGAGCATAACTCCCTACTCTTTAAATGTGGCCTTGCATAATGACTTCCTTCCAAAGAGCACATTACAAATATGAAAAGGGATGGGGGAGAGAAACTTTATAATGAAGAAACCTGGAAAACACTACCTAACCAGGTGATGAAGGTTAGGTGATGAACCAGGTTATCAACGTTGATAAGGCCTATTGACAGTATGTACCCTTGATATGATGTGATATGATGTGATGACTGTCACACTCCAGTGGTCTTCCTCCCAAAATCCCATTGATAGAAGACATTAAACTAAACTAAATTTGGCCTGAGAATGCCTCCATACTCAAGTCCTTATGTAATGAACTGCAACCTAATAAATACATAAATGAACTGAAGGTCTAATTTAGAAGTATACTTGATATGGTTTTGTTCTGTATCCCCACCCAAATCTCATACTGAATTGTAAGCCCCACATGTTGGAGGAAGGGCCTGGTTAGAGTTGATTGGATTAAGGGGGCAGAGTTCTCCCTTGTTGTTCTTGTGAAAGCCAGTGAGTGCTCATGAGATCTGGTTGTTTGAATGTGTATAGCACTTCCCTCTTCACTCTCTCCTGTCACCATGGTAAGATGTGCTTGCTTCCCCTTCACCTTCTGCCATGATTGTAAGTTTCCTGAGACCTCCCCAGCCATGCCACCTGCACAGCCTATGGAACTGTGAGTCAATTAAATCTCTTTTCTTGATAAACTACCCAGTCTCAGGTAGTTCTGTATAGCAATGTGAGAATGGACTCATACAATACCCTTAGATCAAATGGCTGAGTCTCAGTCAATTACAGTAGCTGAGCTTCAGTCAATCACAAGAGACTAACTGATTCAAATAACGCAAAACACCAACTAAACTGCCTCTGTATCTCACTTCTGTTTTCTGTCCATAAATGCTGCACAACCACATGGCAGGCCAGAGTTCTTAGAATCTGTTCTGGTTCTAAGAGCTGCATGATTCATTCATTAATTTTTCTTTGCTCAATTAAACTCTATTAAATTTAACTTGTCTAAAGTATTTTTCTTCAGCAAAGCTTTATTCATAATAGCTGAGAACTGGAAACAATGCAAATGTCCATTGAACAGTAAATGGATAAACTGTAGCAATATCTGTGCAATGGAAAATCATTTACCTATAGAGAGAAATGAATAAAATGATAAAAAGAACAATAGAGATGAATCTCAAAATATTTATGCTGAATGAAACAAGCCAAATGAAAAAAAAGACACATACTGTATGGTTATTTGTATAAAATACTTAAAATGCAAACTAATATATAGTAACAGGAAACAGATCAGTTGTTGCCTCAAGCAGTGTGGGTAATGATTAAGAGGACGGGCTTACAAAGGGGCATGAGCAAATTTGGAGGTGGTCATGATAGATATATTTACTATAGTCAGCCTTCCATATCCCCAGGTTCCACATCTGTGATTCAACCAATCACAGATTGAAAATACTTACAAAAAATGAAAAAATAACAATACTACTACAAAAATAAAAATGAAAAACAATACAGTATAAATACTGCTATTTATATAGCATTTGCATTGTATTAGGTATTATAAGTAATCTGGAGATGATTTGAAGTATAGAAGTGGATATGAGTTAGGTTGTAGGCAAAGACTATGCCAAGTCCTATGCCAAGGACTTGAGCATCCACAGATTTTGGTATGCAGGAGGTCCTGGAAACAATCCCTCACAAATACTGAGGGTTGACTATATATCAATTACGGTGATGGTTTCATGGGTGCATACCTATGTCAAAATTTATCAAATTTTACACTGTACATTTGTGCTGGTTATAGTAAATATATATGGTATAGTATTTTATAGACAACTGAATAATGAAGTGAATACACAATTAAAACTAGCTGAACTTCAAGTTTGCTGAGTGAGAGGCAAGATCATCCACAATATAAATATTTCCAGGATCTCCAACAAATTGTTTAAATTCATTTTTAAAAGCAACAGCTGCCTATGATATCTTTCCAATATTCTTTTTCTGAATATAAAGATTACCTTTCATGTCTTTGAAATGTACAAAATATCTGTGCATTTCTAAAAAACAAATGTTTTTCTAATGAAAGAAACAGTATAAGCAAAACAAATTCTTCCACTGCCCCACATCCTCTTAATACCCAACCACACCCACAGAAGAGTTGCAAACATTAAAAGAAATGATCAACACCATGTGCCTCTTGATCATAAGTAAACAAAAATATTCCACAAAAATAATTTGGTCAAGCAAGAAGTGGAATAAGTAAACATTTCTCCTTTGCTTTAAAGAAAAGGAGATTCACATTTTAATACTTATCTAACCATTATTTAAGGGAAAAATTAAATTAGATGTATTAGATTCCAAGATCTTCTCTGTAGAGAAAATCGATGTTATTAATCATTTATTGAGCCCAGTGCCCTAATGCCAAAATTTAAAACTCTCTCTTAGAGAAGGGCAGTGTAACAATAACAAAAACAACCATAACAATAATGGTTATTTTTGCTGATATTTGCTGAACACATAGTATATGCCAGGCAGTACTATAAAGTCATTTAAGCTTATAGCCTTTGAGGCAAGTATCGTTACCATTCTCATTTTACATTGTAGGACTGGAGACAGAGAGATTAAGTGACACAGCCAGTGAGTGGCAGAGCCAGGGTTGGAGGTCAGATAGTTCAGCTCCAGAGTCCACTTCCCGACTCCCCGTCACATGCCTCCCAGACACGGGTTTTGTGGCAGACAGACCTGAACCTGTTTTCTCACCCTGCTACTCTACTTAATTGCACAGTTTTCTCACTCTGGTTCTTAAACGAGTCTACTGCTGCCAGCCCCTCAGGCTGTTATGGGAATTCAATGAGATCAGGTAAGTCTCCTGCCACAGATCCAGGCCAGTAGGAGGCATTTGGTTATGGTTGCACAGGCACTGGCGATACAAAAACATGCCAGACAAGACCACTGCCCTTGAGGAGCTCACCTTTGAGAGTAGAAGAGGACCTGCAGTATTCCTTCCACAACTGCCAATTCTTCATTGAAAACACATTAAATTGTCTCTGCATTTCTTCCACAACTGTGTGCATATTGGATCCATGACTCCAAGTGACCATCGCTTTGTGTTGTGACTAGCCTGTGAGGTGAAATGAATGAAGAGTGGAAGCTTGGAAGTCTGGATTGTTGATTTCCAAACTTGTTCTCCCTCCTGCAACTGCACAGGCAGTGACGACTTCCTAATCTGGTAAAAAATATTATTCTAATTATGCAGTGCTTTAGAAGGCCAAATGTTATTGAACATAAAGTGCTTAGATGGTAGGCCTCATCAGCTCCAGCTCTCAAGTTTAATGGTTTTACACATGAAACCTTATGATGCCACAGTAGGGAGTTCATTTCTAATAAGGACTCATAGAAATCATTTTAAAATGCTCCTCCTACCACTAGAAAAACTGAATATTAAATGTGACTGAAAGAGAGACGGTGTCCCCCATAAAAGAACACAAATACAGAATGGTCAGGATACAGAAGAGCCCAGCATCATGAAAATAAAAGCCAGTACTTTGTGGAACATATTGAAGCAAATCAAATTTTTCATATACATCAATTATTACTGCAAAAAGTAGTAATCTATATTTGATATCCTGCAGATTCTGTTTTCCGAGTGCTAGCCCCTTCCACTTATTGAGCTCAGTGCCCTCATACTAACATATTAACCCTACTTTTAGAGAAAGGCAATGTAATGGTAACAATAATAATGGTTATTTTAACCAATAATTATTGAGCACTTAGACATACTAAGTGCCAGGCAATACTATACTCATTTATGCTGATAACAGCCCTATGAGGTGAGTAGTACTATCATGCTTATTTTACATCTTAGGAAGCAAGACACAGAGTGATCTAGTACTCAACTACATAAATTAAAGCAGGAACTTTATATGAGGTTTAAATGATTTGATACAATTTTCTAAGGAGGTGCAAAGAGACTCAAAACAAATCACTGAATGTGCACTGCATGGTTTCTTTTAGTTGGGTAGCATTGATCAGAAGAGAAATTTATAACATTAAAGGATGGAAATCACAGTACATATACAGTGGTTTGCACAATTGGGAGAAAATGATGCAATAAGTAGGAGACTACAAACAATAGAATGCTGTAGAGTCCTTAAAATTATGTTATAAAAAATATTTAAGCCTGGTGCAGTGGCTCACACCTGTAATCCCAGCACTTTGGGAGGCTGAGGCGGGGCAGATCACAAGGTCACGAGATTGAGACCATCCTGGCTAACACAGTGAAACCTCATCTCTACTAAAATTACAGAAAATTAGCCAGGCATGGTGTCGGGCGCCTGTAATCCCAGCTACTCGGGACGCTGAGGCAGGAGAAAGGCATGAACCCAGGAGGTGGAGCTTGCAGTGAGCCAAAATGGCACCACTGCACTCCAGCCGGGGCGATAGAGTGAGATACCGTCCCCCCACCAAAAAAAAAAAATTAATCACATGGGAAAATGGTCATGATACAGTCTTAAGTGAAAATAATTTTTAAAATATATACCACGACGATGAGGACACAATAGTGAACAAAGCAACCAAAAACCCTGCTTGTGGGGAGCTTACCTTCTATGATCACAACAAAAAATATATATATATGATAATAGATATTCAGGTATTATCTGTCTAGCATCTTTTTGAAAACGTATCCTTCTCCACTCTGATTCTCATAATATTCTTCAGTCCTTGAGTACTCAATCATGGGCCTCTTCTTGACCTCTACACCTCTGCAGGTCTTGGGAGTGGGAAGGTAACACAGCTGTAATTGAGTATTCAACACAGCTGTAGCCCATCACAGTAAGCCATCCTTGGGCTAGAGTGAGTGCTAAAAAATAAGCACATGTCCTAAACCAGGACAGTCAGACGCTTCACTGATATTTTTGTCAAAGCAAATGGGGAAAAAAAAATTTCTTTCCGATGGAATTGTTAAGATTTTGAGGTGGAACTCAGGCTAACCAGGGTCATCATGCCTACTATTTGAAGAGAATGGAACTAAGAATTGGAGAGAAAGAGGAAACCTTGATAAAATCATTTTTATTTTTTTACTGAAAGCTATTTAAGTTTCCTCCCGCTGTAAAGAAAAAAAAAGCTAAAACAAACATATCATAGGGATCTCTGCTTGAGCCTAGGTTTGACAGTATATCTGATTAAATTGGTGGGGCCAGTAAAGGAATCTGTTTGCTCACATTAATAGGCAGAGATAAATGTGCTCTGCTGGGCCTGGAGTGTCAAAAACAGAGGGTGCAGCAAACAGAACAGTGTTTGTTCCCCAGTTGCTATGCATTTTTTGAGTCCTAAAAAATGAGCAGGTGCTGGTAAAAGGAGGCATTTTTGTGGAATACTTTGTTAGGCTTGAGGGCAAGCACGTCTTCTGAGGGCCCCAGGATAGTGACACGGCAGATGTGGTATGAAACACAGTATGGCTCTGCCACAGTGAGGACTGCAGGGCATTAAGTTTATTTTGTTAGCTGAAGAATTTGCAGTTTAGGGAGAACCTGAAGAAGTTCCCTTGTCACAGACAAGGTATTCTCAAGGAAGATAAAGACAAGGTGGCTGAAGAGCTGTCATGGAGTGCTTTTGCACTGTAGACTTGGAGTGCAGAAGACATGCTTGTTTAGGAGCCCATAGGACCGGCTTTGGACTTGCCACAATAGCATGGTATGGTAATAAGGGAGAGCTTAGGCACTTTATCAGGCTGGAGAGAGCACAAGTCAGGGAAGTTTAAGATAATTACTCTTGCTTTAACCTCACTATGTCATTAGAACAATTATGTTTGGAAATATTTAAAATATATATTTGGAAGGACATGTACCAAAATGTTAACAATGGCTGCTTTGAGATGACAGCATTATGAATGATTTATTTTCTTCTTTGACCTTTTGTTAATTTCCTCAGACATTCTATAATTAAATTATATGTTATAATGTGACCAGTAAACACACAATAATGTATTTATATATTTATATATATACATTATATATACATATATACATTTATATATTTTATATATATATATGTAGTTTTCAACTATATATATGTAGTTTCAAACTATATATGTAGTTTTCAAATGCATCCAAACTATATAGTTTACTTGGTCCTCTGGTTAGTGTTATTCAAATGCATCCAGGAACTGATAAAACTTCTCAAACAATTTTACAACTTCAATTTCTGAAGAGAAGGAAGAAAATCGAAGAACTCAGTGATCCAAATGTTGAAGGATTTACCACCACAATTGCCAGAAATAGCATCTCAGAAAGTCACCTGAAGATGAAAGAAATTGGAAATAACTGCATTAAATTTATGGTTTTTAAAATTTTAGATATGTAAAATATAATTTGGAGTCCAATTGAAATAGTATTGTTTGAATGACTGTAACTACATAGTTACAGTATACCTGTGTCTATGTTTATATCTTTACATAAATACATGCCTTTACATATCCATAGTTATGTGTTGCTGTAACCTGTACCATTAAAATAATGATGTTTGAAATTTACAAGAAAAAAAACCAAACAACCCCATAAAAAGTGGGCAAAGGACACTTCTCAAAAGAAGACAATTATGCAGCCAACAAACATATGAAAAACAGCTCAACATCACTGATCATTAGAGAAATGCAAATCAAAACCACAATGAGATACCATCTCATGCCACTCAGAATGACAATTATTAAAAAGTCAAGAAACAACAGATGCTGGCGAGGCTGTGAAAAAATAGGACCACATTTACACTGTTGGTGGGAATGTAAACAAGTTCAACTATTGTGGAAGACAGTGTGGCAATTCCTCAAAGATCTAGAACCAGAAATACCATTTGACCCAGAAATCCCATTACTGGGTATATACCCCAAGGAATATAAATCATTCTATTATAAATATACATGCATGCATATGTCCACTGCATCCCTATTCACAGTAGCAAATACATGGAATCAACCCAAATGCCCATCAATGATAGACTGGATAAAGAAAATGTGGTACATATATGCCATAGAATACTATGCAGCCATAAAAAGGAATAAGATCATGTCCTTTGCAGGGACATGGATGAAGTTGGAAGTCATTATCCTCAGCAAACTAACACAGGAACAGAAAACCAAACACTGCATGTTCTCACTTGTAAGTGGGAGCTGAACAGTGAAAACACATGGACACAGGGAGGGGAACAACACACATGGGCATATCCGGGGGTGTTGGGGGAGGGAGAGCATCAGGATAAATGACAGATTGATAAGTGCAGCAAACCACCATGGCACACATTTACCTGTGTAACAAACCTGCATGTCCTGTACATGTATCCCAGAACTTAAAATTAAAATAAAATAAAATTTATAAAAAAAGTCTGAACATTTTAAAAATATATTAAAATTAGCTATACACATGGATATAGAGAAAGGTAAAGACATAAACATAGAAACAGATGGTCATAGGTTTAGGTGTAAGTATATGTTTATTAGGGCTTTCAGAGTCATACTTGAGACCTATTCCTATATTCTCCTGTATATGATCTTTAGTTATTTAACTAAAACTTCCTATCCCAAAGGTTTTCAGAAACCAAATCCTAATATCCAGGGAGACGTTATTACAGTCTAGTCCCTAGACAACTTTCCATTTCATGTCCTCATTTTTTAAATGTATTTATAATAAAGCAGTGGTATGCAGAGTTCAGGAAGATTTAAAAGAAAGGACAGATATAGGCTCTCTACACAGTGATCCTATTACAATCACAGGAGACAACAAAAACCCAAGAAAACTACATCTCACAACTCTAGGGCTCTACCTTCGGTAACCCTGGACAAAGAGCATGTGACAAAGTTTATGGAGATGGTCAGTAATTGTTTTTTCTAAAGGATAACACAGAATAAAAACCATTTTCTAGTTTACCCTCTGGAGACACTATTTCCCCCTCTTCCTATAGCTGGCTGCTTATTTTGCCTCTCATTGTCTAATTCACCATTTTGTCTGGTCCGTAATAAGATTCCACTTTGTTTCTGGCAAATCATTTGTGCTAATAATTTCTGGCTCAAGTTCTCTCTACAGCCTCATATGAATGATGACTTGTTGCTTTGCTAAGAGCTCATTTGCTGGACTGTAATTTTGGTTCAAGAAGAATTAACATTTTGTAAAACATGGTGGATAAGAATTCATCACACCTTGAAAGTTTCAATGATGCTGCTGCTGTTGGAGTGAAAGCAGGTTCATTTGACAGGTGTTCCATTGCCACTTGCTATTGTTTGAGGTGACATAAAACTTTTCTCTCCTGCATGCCTTGAATTTCTTTACAAAATTTGCAATACCCAAAGGCTCTCTGACTTGGGGACAGTATGTTCTTGTAGGGCAATCTTTCTATGTAAATACATGACAAATGTAATCCCTGGACCCATTCATCATTTCCTTGGTTAAAGAGACAATTAAATAATCTTTGCTAACTTTTTCATATATGCTCTTTGCCAAATCAAATCTAAAGCTTAAAAGGACATTTCTAAAACAGATATTCTGACTCAGTAACTAAGAATAAGACTTAAAAAAAAAAATCTAAAGATCAAGTAAACAGGCTTTCACACCTGGTAAGCTGTTGGCAAATTCAAATCCTCAAAGGAGTTACACTGTGTTGCTTTAAGCAGACTCAGAGTATGTGGATATTTGACCTCAAAGCTACCCTTTGAGGATCTGTTCTCTTAACCTTCTCCAGGTATTGTGCATAACATACAGTGTAGACAAGAGCTGGACTAAGGGTTCTAATCCAGGAAATGTGTATGCAGAGGCAAATCGAGGAGGAAGGCTCCAGAATGATGCCTACACACTGACAGGCTAGAGGGATCCAGCATTATCATGGAAAGGAGTAAGATAATACATACAGTTTGATCAGTTTTTATCCAAGAAAAGTCCTGCTCATTATGACTTTGAAATTTGAATATGCAGATTGAGAGGTTGATCTCACAGAGGTTATTTAAAAATAAACAAATTCTAAAAATGCAGACCACACACACTATAGGAATAAAAAAGGACAAGATTTTTGGAAGAAAAAAAGGCATATTTATGGCAACAGGTCTCCAACTCCCCTCTTCTGGTGGTGGAGGGGGATTCTAAAGTATGTTTTGCATTGTCTTCCAGAGTTCCCCAGTAGAACTGAGCCCTGGTTGCCCACAATGGTAAACTGATCAGTAATGGGCTCTTTATTTGTTTCTTCCCTTCCCTATCAGATGTCCCTACTCCCTCATCAGTGCTTCCTTGGATTGTCTCCGAAGAAACTGCTTCCACACAAATCCTCATGTCAGTGCCTACTTCTAATGAAACCCAACCTAAGACGGTGTGTATACCCATGAGTCCCTCAGGACTGTAAGAATACCCTATTTCTGTATTTTCCTCAGGGAGGCAATAGTGAATAAGAAGCAGTGTAAAGCTCGATCTGAAAACAGAAAAGAACTCTAGTCCTCCTGAAAAAGTACGCTTATAGGTGGAGGTCAGTCTCATGCATGCTATCTATTAGTTTCCTAGGGTTGTCATGACAAAAAGCCATAAACTTGGGGGCTTAAAAGAACATAAACATATTCTGTCATAGCTCTGGAGCCTAGATGTCCAAATTCCAGGTGTTAGCAGGGTCATGCTCCCCATGAAGGGTCTTGGGAAGGAATCATCCTTGCCTCTTCCTAGCTTCTGAGGGTAGTCTGCGATCCTTGATGTCTGTGGGTTGGCAGCTGCATCACCCCAGTCTCTGCCTCCAACTTCACGTGGCGTTCTTCCAAGTGTGTCTCTCTGTATCTTCACACAGTGTTATAAGGACACCAGTGTTGAATTTAGGGATCCTCCCTCTTCCTGCAATCCAATATGACCCTCATCTTAACTTGATTATATCTGTAAATACTGTTTCCAAATAAGATCACACTCATAGATACCAAGGGTGTGGACTTGAACATATTTAAGGAGGGACACGATTTAACCCACAACATGCTATATCCACCAGCCTAACAGAAGACAAGTCAAGCAGCTTTCTGTCCCTGCTCACTCACACGTAACAAATATGATGATGATGAGGAGGAGGAAAATGATGGTGATGATGAGAATTTTAGAAATCTACTCCAGCCAGGAACAAAACTCTCAGCAGTTAGAATATACAGAAAACCCACGGCCAATGCTTCCTAACTCCTACTTACATCTGCTTTTTATTTATCTTTCTAGGCTAGTGACGGTTTCTAGAACCTTTGCTCTGAGCATTCAGTAACTGCTTTGGATTTTAATGCCCTGTCTCCTGAGAATAGTAAGTGTATTTCTGACAACACAATGCCTTCCCGAGATGAAGTGAGAGCCAAAAGTGCCAGCTCATCAACCCCTCAGTCCCTGACCTTAGCTGAATTTGGTCGCTCCGACGAACAGAGCTAGCCAGGAAGAAAACAGCCACATGACATTTTCTACCATTGGGTGCTTGCATCTGAGTGTGTCCCTTGTTAAAGGCAATCCTCTCTCATCTCTAGAAGCATACCTGGTTTTCAAGTTAAATACTCCAGGTCCTTGAGTAATTCACAAACAGGTCATGGTATAATATTTGAGCCATATAAATGTGTATTTAGCTGCTTTGATGCAATTTCTCTTTGGCTTACTAATGAGAAGGCATTGAAAAGAAAAAGGGAGGGTTATTGAACAACCAGAGCAAAACGTCCATCACTAATTATCTGAAAGCCCAAAGATCCAGCATCCTGATTAGCACAGGCCTGGAAAAAGCACAGAGTAAAACTGGACATTTATTCCTCAATTAGAGCATAGAATGATTACTGCCTTCCAGATGTCCTAGGGAACAACCCTTCAACTTCATCACTCCTTGAATAGAAAAGTAATTTAAAGGACAAAGAAGTGCCCACCTGGGCTCTATGAACACAGCATCAAAATTCTCTGGTAAGGAAGGCGTGCCTGACATTTTTCAGCTTTTATCTCTTCATCAAATTAGCCTCTTGCTGAGGTAAAAACAAGAAGAGCAGCTTACAAAATTATATATGCAGTGGTATCTCAGCTACTTAAAAATGTAAACAGAGGAGAAAAAGATAGAAGAAAACACAACAAATTACTAACTACTAATCTTTGAAAATGGAATTGGGAGTGTTTTATTATTTTCTTTTTAATACTTTTACATTTTCTACAATAAGCATATATTGTTAGTAATTTATCATTCATGGTATTGAATGCTTACAATATACATGCACATATTTCATTTAATTCTGACCAAAAAGGAAAACAAAAGAACCTATGTAGGAAGTATTATCCCCATTACATAACTTGCCTAAGGTCACTTAGCTGATATATGGCAGTCAATATTCACACCTAAGTCTACGTAATTTTGTTGTCTCCCATATATTGTTCTCATGATCAGAAGGAGAAAAGAAGACATACTCAAAATAATATCTAATACAGAAAGGATAGTGGAATCAACTTGTGTAAAAAAAAGAAAAAAAAGTTTCCGAAAAAAATGCCACTGCAGAGGCTAAAAAACTGTAATAATATTTTATCTCAGATGCACCCAATATCGGTTACCAGATAGTCCATGATCTTTCCACATGAAAATGCATATTACTAACCATGGCACCTTATACTGCGCATGAAAACCCAGGGCATATAGGTAGATTCTGCAACTCTTTTGAGGAGGGCCAACACAATGACCCAAGTCTGAGTCAACCTTCACCATTTAGAGAGATTTGTAACCTCAGTCAGTTTGCTTGTTCTTTCTGAGGTTCCATGTTTTCATTTCTTTTTTCCTTTGTCCACTGATTCAACAAATATTTCCTCTGTACCTAATATGCCAGTTATTTTTCTAGGCCCTGGGAGTAAGTGTGGTGAATAAAAGAGGCACGGTCTCAGTCCTCACAGAGCTCTGCCCCTCACCTTGGAAGAAAGATAACATGGCTTGCTTCAGTCAGGGTTGCTGCAAGGCCTGAATCAGAGAATGTAAAGTATCTGCCCCAGCACTTAACACGTAGAAGGCACCCAATACATTTACCACTGGGATTATCTCAGTTATTCCACCTATAAAATGGAATTTATCTTATCCCACTTGGCTGGTACTGATCTCTATAATTCCTCCCTAATTCATCCACCCCAGTCTAGAAAATACCATGGTTTTAAAAATATGCTTCAGAAAACAGGATGGGAAAACAAGACGAGAATGTAGATATTTTAGTTTAAGCTTATAATACATTAAATTCCATTTACTTTTTTTTTTTGCTTTGAATATCAAAATTCACCTTACCATATTTAATATGCTCATGTAAAAACTGATGATTCACTAGGAAAGCTCTAAAAATATTCATGTAGGCAAATTCTTATCATCATAGCTTTTATGATTTGAGTTAAGGGGAAAGTTTGATGAGAACTATGTTAAGCAAGTTCCTACTTTTTAAAGGCTTGCAGATAGAGATATTGAGGTCTAACTAAGCCTCTGTGACCAGAAACATGTTCATATACTTGTGTCCAATGATACATACTGCCTGTAATGAACATTCTATATTTTATGAGCACAATATTTGGGTGTGTATCAGGGATTTACATAGATTTTCTCTAATGTTCCAAACACTTCTAGTAAAGTTAGACATCCTCCTCCATCAGAAACTAAAACCGGGAGATGGTAAGCAGTTTACCAAGTTATACTAACTAGTAAGTGTCAACGCCTGAATGTGAACCCTGATTGTCTGACTATACAACTTACCCTCTTTTGATAACAGCACACCAGTGCTCTACCGACAGGGAATTTATTACTTTTCAAAGCAGCTCATTTCTTCTTTTTAAAAGCTCTTATAATTCAGAGTTCCTTCTAACACTGAGCTGAAATCTACCCTCTCCTCATAGTTACCATTGGCTGTAGTTTCATCCTTCAGTTAAATTAGTTAAACTAATTCTTCTTCCACGAGAGCTCTTCAGATATTCAGAAACACCTTTCCTTTCTTTCCTTCCCCTCTTCACCCCTCCCTATCAAGTTTTCCTTTCTTCAAAACAAAATAATCCCACTTTTCTACTCTGCTTTAAATTCCATTGTTTTAAGTCCCTACCTGCTCAGTAGGGTAGATATTACATTGTTTTAAATCCCTACCTGCTTGGTAGGGTAGCAAAACCTGCTCAGTTCCAATAATCACAGTCTCAGTTGTTCACATCACTTTTTAAAAAATTAAATACAATACCACAGGTGTGATCTGAAGTGTACCGAGTGGAATTTCATTGTCGCCATCCTTGTCTTACATATTATACTTCTATTTACGTAGTTCAATAGCAAATTAGCTATTTTATTCTAGCTACTTCATGCTGCTGACTCGCATGAATTTGCTATAGTTACAGCAACGCCTTTAGGTCTTTTTTACATATACAACTATGAATCCACATTTTCAAGATCCTATTCCTATGCCTTGCTTACATGACTATTTTTTTGTATCAAGCTGTGCTTCTTAAATTTGGGAAGGCTGAAATAAAGGACCAAGGTTTTTTATTCATTTCTGTCATTAAATGGATTTCCTCTTCTTCACAGTTTCATTCCATGTAAGTGTTCTCCCAAGTCATTGGGTAAAAATATTGACCAAACAAGGATGAAAATGGAGTCTGAAATTCTGCCCCACACCCCGTAGACTTCTTTCTGGGTTGAGATCAACTCACACATCAGCAGCTGATAGGCAGGGTCAATTCAACCATTTGGGAATTCACCTGTTGGTACCAGCCTCCAGCCCACAGGCTCCTGCAGGATTCCTTCTCAAGGAGTTTGTGAAAGTCCATAACATGTGCTCTGCTGATATCAATATTCCTTGTCTGCTTGTGTCCTACACCCCCAGAATAGTACCCGGCACTCCTGGATGTCTTATGTTGTAAAAGATACAAAGTCTCTAGTTTATTTCTTGTTTTCATTCTGTACTCTGAAAGAATTGCTCTTGCCAAATGCTCATCTTGATGCTATTAAAGTTTGAGACTTTCTAACTTTCCAGACAAGATTAGTTTAATGGGCATTCGACCTGTGTGCAGAAACACACACTCAAATGGGCCATGCACTTGGCTTAATGCCCTGCCGTCACCATTTTGAAATTTTTATAAAGTGTATTTATTCAATTGTTAATGTATTAAACGTAGAATGACATAGTAAATTAAAAATACCATGACAAGGTGAGATAAAGACTACAGAAGAAAGAAAAATCTTCATATTTTAGTATCTTTAACAGTAATGTTTTCCTGCTGTTTGAATAAGGAACCCCACATTTTCTTTCTGCGCTATGCCCCACAAATAATGTAGCTGGCCTTGTTTTGGGGGTGGATATTTAAAATATTTAACAACAAGTATAGCATGGGCCTCACCTAATTGGAACAGATGCCTAACCCATCAAAAACTGATGCCAAGTGGTATGTAGGACTGCAGCATACCAGCTGAATATTGGCCTTGCTGCTTTCTGCTGCGTTGGCATGGTCACCTGTGAAGCATGTGATATTATGGAATCCCTTGGCATGCCCTGAACACCTTCAGGTCTGCATCACTGCTAACCCTACTCACTCTCCCCCAGCTTACCTATCTTCAAACTGCTGCACTACATCAAATCATCTTTGTTCTTTCTTTGTTCCGGACTTGAAAAACAAAAATATATTACTTCCAAAGAAGGCTTAAAGTGAAAATTCCATTTGAATCCTGTAAAAGTTAGAAAAATTATTAGCTAATTTGCTATTTCCCATAGAGTCCATACCATTATCAGACCTATTACATTCTCATTTATTAACTTCATGCTTTGAAAGATTTCTGGTTGAAGAAAGTTGGTGCACCAGATGTTTTTGTAAAGGCAAGAGGAGGGGTTAATAATTATAAACTTTTTCATACCTCAGTCCTCTGACATAGTCCACAGAGCTTTGCCTTCCAAAGGCACTGGTTGACATTGGTATTCTCATAAATATAGATTTGGGGACTTTTTATGAAATGCAAGGAAATTCTGCTTCTTTTTCTTTCTGAAGTGAGGAGAAACCATTTCTCTCAGAGCTCACCCCCAGCAAAAGGTTAAGTATAACCTTAATCTCCATGCCTGTTTCATCCTGCCAAACCCACAGCTGGAATCACCCCAAAAGCAGCAGTGAGGAGAATTCCCACAAGACAGTGCCCCAAACCATCCCGAGATAAGGCAGGTTGAGGTTCCTAAGACAGAAGCACTAATTGCCAGGGTGATCAGTCCAAACCATTTCTTAGAGGAAAGCACAGAGCGGGCTGCAGCAGTCCTCGCAAAGGACAGCAAGAGAAAAGGGGTGTTCTACCCAGGTTATATCCTGCAGTGGATGGGTCAGCATATCAAGTTTATATGGGAGTTAAAGGAATTTGGCTCAGGGATGGGACCTGTTACTTTCAGTGTTTGGGGCAACAACCTCGATACTTTTATCAGTATCTGGGAAGGTTCAAGGCCCTGGTTTGAGTTCAAGCCTGTGGGGAAAAACCTGCAGCTGGCTGGATCACAGAGCAGTCAAGTCACTCTGTGATTTTTCTGGTCAGGACACAGAAAGAAAAGGCAGGGAGAAATTTGAGGACCCTACATTTACCAATAAGTCCTTCACAGCTGTTTGGTCCTGACTTCCCATCCTGGTACTGCTCAGGTTTTAAACTATCAATACAATCAGTGGAAAATCAGATTATCATCACTTTTCATGAATATACTTATCTGTGACATTTCCTCAAAATAATATCCCTCTTCCTAAAATATCTTCCCCTCTCTATTCTATATCTCTCATATATCTTTACAGTTTTTAGTTCAGATTCCATTTATCTGTGAAATTTTCTTCTTCTCCACTACAAAGTCTCCTGCATTACTACTTTTAAACTTTTCAGTCTAAGGGTCATATATCTAAATTTCTTGAAATGATCCGATTTATCTGCTTCACATTTAGAAAGCATCTGTAGTTCAAGTGTAGTGAAGGCTAATTAGAACATTTCTAAGTCATGTACATCTATGAAAGATTAAAATTGATTGGATGTGGCGGAAAGAACATTGGCTCGGGTTGAAATTCTGCTTTTCCTACTTTCTAATACATGGTCTTTGAAATCCTTTTACCTTTATACATATGTATTATTTGTGAAATGATAATAACACACACCTGGAAGGTGTATTATACATGGGAAATTATCCTTTAATCAACTAGACAATGCCTGGCACAGAATAAGCACTCACTAAATAATAGCTATCAATATTAGAAAACACTCACCACTACTTGCCTGATTTTTCATTTCAATTCAAGTCAGTACTACAGATAGGTAGTGTCTTCTATCGCCAATCAATTTTGCGGATGATCAAGAAATAGATAGGTAGATAGAGAGATAGGTGATTAGGAAAGCTGTTGAAGAGAATAATACTTATTAGTAAAACAGAGAACATGTTGATGGAAACTAAAATGAAAACAACTGCTAGAAGATCAGAAGCAGATGTGTTGGTGTGTTAAGCAGAGACCAGTATGTGTCCAGGTGTCAAGAACTTCATGGTTTCATGGTCTCTATGGCAAGAAAGACATAAAAAGTCTATATTTCTTTTGAGGATCCCTTGAGGAATGTCCTGACTGCCCCATTCCTGTTTTCCAGGCGTTTTAAATCCCTACTGACCTGGAACAGATTAAAAGTTGTAGTACACAGATGAGATTTCTGTGACAGCCTCATGCATCATTTTTCTCACCTCAGTGACCTTAGTCCCCTGAATGCTACTTTTGTAAAGTGCATCACCACTAGAGAATTTAACAGGTTGTCTTTATTTTGCTTATTTCTCCAAAATTCTGCTCTACAACTTTTTGGGCCTTTCAGCTACAAAAGTGATTTCTCAGGGATATATAAAACTGTCAGTGTTACTAGGTGGTCTGATGATGCATGGTATACTTTTTGCTAGAGCAAAGGCGATGGAGAAGATAATGCTTTGAATCAAACACTGACAGGAGGGCAAAAATTGTGGTGTATAATACATTCTCCAGTGGAATAGGTTACAAATGTACAGAGAGTTGTGACGATGCATACCACACATCAGAAGAGCCAAGCCAAGTTTTAGGATGAGAACTTGAAGAATCTCTCAGAGTTGTTCTCATGTCACATAAGTTGGAATTTGAAATGAAATACATTGCATATATGTTTGGGGCACTCAGGGGCAAGAATAAGGAAACATGCTACTCTTCCATTTGACTAATTGCTATTTATCCTTCAGTGTTCAATTGAAAAATTACCTTCTTCAAGAAGCTTTCTCAGATCCCCACCCCAGCCATCAACACCAACCTCCACCACTCTACTACTGCTACCACCATCTCCCTCTCTTTCCCTACCATCCAACCACCCCATCACCATCATTCTACCATGACACCACTTCTAGCACTACAGCCCAATCTACTTAGGCAACCCTGTGGATGCCTCTTTCTAGGCAATTTTACATTATATTTAAATGTGACTTGCTACTGTCTTGCTAGACTTACCTTTTGGGAGTCAGGGATTACTTTAATCTTGTTTCTCCAGTGCCTAATAAAGAACCTACCCTATGATAGGTATATGTTTCAGTATATGTTTGCTGAATGAATGAACAAACCTAACAATGGAATTACTTTTCAGAAATGTTTGCAATATGGAGTTGTCTTCTTTTTAAAAATTATATTGAGATTCTCAACTTAATTCTTTCCAGCCACTAAAGAACACTTAGGAGCAATTTGTTCAATGACACCCTAGTGACCAGAAAGAGGTATGGTAGCTAATTCCGAAAGTAATTTCCAGGCAGAGTATACTCACAGGGAAAATACAGCTAAATACTTTCGAAGACCATTGGATAGGAAGTGTAAACTAATTCAGTGGGTTGCATCTTTCCAGACTCTCTTAGAAACTGATATATGGTGGGTATCACCTTTTGGAAGCCAGTTCTGAAAATGTGTTTTAAAGAAATCTCATGCCCCATTACCTTAATTTATGACTTAAATGGATCTCTATACATGGAATTTCTATACACGGAAATTCATGTTTGACTCTAACATGGATTCTCAATTGCTCGCAAATGATCCTTGAAAAAAGAGGAAAAAACCTGAAGTTATCTTCATTTCTAAAAGTTGTTCCTTTTGTTTATGAGATTGCACATTCTTCAAAGACAATAGAACAAACAGAAAAAAAAAGAGAAGCATGAAGGCAGAGCTCTAGAGAGACAGGAAGAGGGAAATGAAAAAGAGTTTAAGAATATACATTTAAATACCAATATCACATCAGTCACTATTTCCAAAAACCAAAATAACTTTGGAGTCTGTAACTTCTGGTAACATGAAACTCACTTGCACTCTCTGGCCCTAATTCTACCATTCATAATGTGACATTACAGGTGTGACTTTGACCTTCTATTCCTTTTTCTGTAAGTTTGAGGGGCTGATGTTATTTACCCCAAGATCCCTTCATGATCAGCAATTTTATAAAATTCTACCAATCAATACCAAGCGTTCTCCGTTTTCTCATCTCTCTGACTTTTTCTCAATTAGAAAACTGAAGTCCATGTCAAGAACAACACTACAAATGACTACCCACTCAGGGATCTCAGTAGTATTTATTTTAAAACTTACACAGTAAAAGAGTACTTGCTTTATTCTGTTGTGAAACTCAAGGAGAGTTATAGGCATAATAATTGTCTGAATGTTAAGGCCTTTATCAATCAAATTCCCCCAGAGTTAAACATAGATCTCATTCCAATAATTCAACACCTTACAACAAAAAGAAAGTAAGACAGACAGACAGAGTTACATGGCTCTCCTGGCTGTTGTCACCTATTCCTTAAATCAGTATACTCCCAGAGAAGAGAGAAATACTTTACAGTCCAGGAATAACCCATCCACTTACTTACCATTCAGCATCCACTGAAAACAGAGAATCTAATAAGTTTCCATTTAAGCCCTTTCTCCACCTCAGAACAGCAAAGATACAGGGAGAAGGTAAGAGGAAATATGGCAAAGAGGAAGCAAAGGTTGATTTTGCTTTTTGGGTTAAAAATTGCATACACTGGATCACCATGGTTTTGTATTTCCTTTATTTACTACGATTTTGGTTTTCTTTTTTTTTTTTTTTCTTTTTTTTTTTTGAGACGGAGTCTCGCTCTGTCGCCCAGGCTGGAGTGCCGTGGCGGGATCTCGGCTCACTGCAAGCTCCGCCTCCCGGGTTCACGCCATTCTCCTGCCTCAGCCTCCCAAGTAGCTGGGACTACAGGCGCCCGCCACTACGCCCAGCTAATTTTTTGTATTTTTAGTAGAGACGGGGTTTCACCGTTTTAGCCGGGATGGTCTCGATCTCCTGACCTCGTGATCCGCCTGCCTTGGCCTCCCAAAGTGCTGGGATTACAGGCGTGAGCCACCGCGCCCGGCCTGGTTTTCTAATTAATATTACTAGTACAACTTTTACATTCCAATCTGTTTCCAATGACAGAGCTTCTTGCACTAACAAAAACAACCAAGACCAGGAGTGTGTTTCAGAAGTCAGGAGCCGGAGTGACTCAGGGAGCCGAGCCAAAGACTTGCAGATCTGGGGGCGAAACTGGATCCTGAAATGAGACTAAGTGGCCACCATTTGCTTCCTGTTTAGACAGGTGTTCCCTTCTTTATTTGCTCCTTAAAAGCTGACTTTCTGCAATATATTAAGTATCTTGAAGATCCTAAATGTAGAAATTTTTGTAGGGTGGTGTAGGATTAGGTGGGATGGGTGGTCTTGAATTGCCTCAATAGACTTTGGTCATGGTTAAACCTGATCCATTTAGGGTAGAGTTTCCAAAGTAGGATGACAGATTTCCTGATTCCAAAGGTTCTTACTCAGCTATACAGTGAGTTGAAATCCCTCTGAGTCACTCTCCACTTATGAACATATGGCACTAAGAACAATTTTTTGGACCCTAACATCTTCTTACCATGTCCCGTACTTCACAGCCTTTCCTAGGGCTGACCCTAAGAATTGGCACATGGTTGTGTAGGTACACAAAGAGTAACTTGGAGAAGCTAGAAATTTGTTTTCATGTTTCATGTTTTCATATTTTTGACCTTTAGAAAATGAGTTTTACTGTGCAGAAGCTCTTTAGTTTAATTAGATCCCATTTGTCAATTTTGGCTTTTGTTGCCATTGCTTTTGGTGTTTTAGACAAGAAGTCCTTGCCCATGCCTATGTCCTGAATGGTATTGCCTAGGTTTTCTTCTAGGGTTTTTATGGTTTTAGGTCTAACATGTAAGTCTTTAATCCATCTTGAATTAATTTTTGTATAAGGTGTAAGGAAGGGATCCAGTTTCAGCTTTCTACATATGGCTAGCCAGTTTTCCCAGCACCATTTATTAAATAGGGAATCCTTTCCCCATTGCTTGTTTTTCTCAGGTTTGTCAAAGATCAGATAGTTGTAGATATGCGGCATTATTTCTGAGGGCTCTGTTCTGTTCCATTGATCTATATCTCTGTTTTGGTACCAGTACCATGCTGTTTTGGTTACTGTAGCCTTGTAGTATAGTTTGAAGTCAGGTAGCATGATGCCTCCAGCTGTGTTCTTTTGGCTTAGGATTGACTTGGCAATGAGGGCTCTTTTTTGGTTCCATATGAACTTTAAAGTAGTTTTTTCCAATTCTGTGAAGAAAGTCATTGGTAGCTTGATGGGGATGGCATTGAATCTATAAATTACCTTGGGCAGTATGGTCATTTTCACAATATTGATTCTTCCAACCCATGAGCATGGAATGTTCTTCCATTTGTTTGTATCCTCTTTTATTTCATTGAGCAGTGGTTTGTAGTTCTCCTTAAAGAGGTCCTTCACATCCCTTGTAAGTTGGATTCCTAGGTATTTTATTCTCTTTGAAGCAATTGTGAATGGGAGTTCACTCATGATTTGGCTCTCTGTTTGTCTGTTATTGCTGTATAAGAATGCTTGTGATTTTTGTACATTGATTTTGTATCCTGAGACTTTGCTGAAGTTGCTTATCAGCTTAAGGAGATTTTGGGCTGAGACAATGGGGTTTTCTAGATATACAATCATGTCATCTGCAAACAGGGACAATTTGACTTCCTCTTTTCCTAATCGAATACCCTTTATTTCTTTCTCTTGCCTAATTGCCCTGGCCAGAACTTCCAACATTATGTTGAATAGGAGTGGTGAGAGAGGGCATCCCTGTCTTGTGCCAGTTTTCAAAGGGAATGCTTCCAGTTTTTGCCCATTCAGTATGATATTGGCTGTGGGGTTGTCATAGATAGCTCTTATTATTTTGAGATACGTCCCATCAATACCTAATTTATTGAGAGCTTTTAGCATGAAGGGTTGTTGAATTTTGTCAAAGGCTCTTTTCTGCATCTATTGAGATAATCATGTGGTTTTTGTCTTTGGTTCTGTTTATATGTTGGATTACATTTATTGATTTGTGTATGTTGAACCAGTCTTGCATCCAAGGGATGAAGCCCACTTGATCATAGTGGATAAGTTTTTGATGTGCTGCTGGATTCAGTTTGCCAGTATTTTATTGAGGATTTTTGCATCAATGTTCATCAAGGATATTGGGAACAGGCAACATACAAAATGGGAGAAAATTTTCACAACCTACTCATCTGACAAAGGGCTAATATCCAGAATCTACAATGAACTCAAACAAATTTACAAGAAAAAAACAAACAACCCCATCAAAAAGTGGGCAAAGGATATGAACAGACACTTCTCAAAAGAAGACATTTATGCAGCCAAAAAACACATGAAAAAATGCTCACCATCACTGGCCATCAGAGAAACGCAAATCAAAACCACAATGAGATACCATCTCACACCAGTTAGAATGGCAATCATTAAAAAGTCAGGAAACAACAGGTGCTGGAGAGGATGTGGAGAAATAGGAACACTTTTACACTGTTGGTGGGACTGTAAACTAGTTCAACCATTGTGGAAGACAGTGTGGCAATTCCTCAGGGATCTAGAATTAGAAATACCATTTGACCCAGCCATCCCATTACTGGGTATATACCCAAAGGACTATAAATCATGCTGCTATAAAGACACATGCACACGTGGTTTATTGCGGCACTATTCATAATAGCAAAGACTTGGAACCAACCCAAATGTCCAACAATGATAGACTGGATTAAAAAAATGTGGCACATACACACCATGGAATACTATGCAGCCATAAAAAAATGATGAGTTTATGTCCTTTGTGGGGACATGGATGAAACTGGAAATCATCATTCTCAGCAAACCATCGCAAGGACAAAAAACCAAACACTGCATGTTCTCACTCATAGGTGGGAATTGAACAACGAGAACACATGGACACAGGAAGGGGAACATCACACTCCAGGGACTGTTGTGGGGTGGGGGGAGGGGGGAGGGATAGCATTAGGAGATATACCTAATGCTAAATGACGAGTTAATGGGTGCAGTACACCAACATGGCACATGTATACACATGTAACAAACCTGCACATTTTGCACATGTACCCTAAAACTTAAAGTATAATAATAATAAAATAAAATAAAAAAGAAAATGAGTTTTAATGAGAGGTTAAATAATTTGAAATAATTTTTCTTTGGAATATTAATTAAAATTTCTGAAAGTTTCTGGGCAGATATTTTAGGAACCTGGTATTAGTGTTTAAGTATCTCAGGAATACACTTCTGAATGAATTTAAAATTAAACTTTGGGCCAGGTGCGGTGGCTCCCGCCTGTAATCCCACCACTTTGGGAGGCCGAGGCAGGCAGATCACAAGGTCAGGAGATGGAGACCATCCTGGCCAACATGGTGAAACCCCGTCTCTACTAAAAATACAAAAATTAGCTGGGCGTGGTGGTTCGTGCCTGTAATCCCACCTACTTGGGAGCCTGAGGCAGGAGAACCGCTTGAACCAGGGAGTTGAAGGTTGCAGTGAGCCGAGATCGCGCCACTGTGCTCCAGCCTGGTGACAGAGCAAACTCCGTCTCAAAATAAAAGAAAAAAAAATTAAACTTTGGCTATGCTACATGTCATTAATAAAACACATCTTGTCCAGCTAAGCATTTTTAAAATTTTACGTGCAAAACACACACACATACATACCCAAAAATTGTTGGCAAAAATCCAGGGAATCAGACAGAGTTATTTTTCTCCCAAAATCTAACTCTGCTTTAAAAAATAAACACAGAGATATCAGCCTTCTAATCTCATACTCAAAGGATTTATCTTTTTCAAGCCAAAGATATTTGGAAATTAAGTTGAAGTTGGATATATAAGCTAGTTCTATACTTAAAGGGTATATGGATAACAGAATCTAAGGGTATTGTCATTTTCTTATAAATGGCTTTATTTTTACCAGAAATTAATGTTCTTTGTAACTCTAATAACATACATTAACAAAATGAAGAAAACTAAAATTACCTACAAATCTCATGACCCAGAGTAAATCGTTAATGTTTAAAAAATTATCCTTCTACTCTTGTTTCTAAAAATTAAATGTATTTTTTAAATTACTTTATACTTTATTGTGCTATCATTTATTAAATATTTATTGTCCATCTTATTAAATTTCATCCCACAATGTTATTGTAAATAATTATATGCATAGTTTAATACATGAGTATTCAATTATTTGATATAGAATTCTATGATGAATATCTTGAGTTATTATTTTCTCAATGAAATATTTCAGAAACCAAAAAGCATTTCTAAATTATACTCCAGAAATGCTGCACATACCCAGCAGCAGAATATGAAAGTGCTTTTTTCCAAATATCCTCATCTACATTGAGTATTAACATAATTTTAATCTTTAGAAATTTAATAGGTAAAAAATGATGTCCAATTATTTTTTGTGTATGTATATATGTGTGTGTTTGTGTGGATACATACATATATATACATTTCCTTGAAATATATATATTTTTTTGATCACTAGTGAGACTATATAGTTTTATGTTTATTTATCATTTCCATTTCTTCTTTTGAGAATTTCTTGTCCATATTCCTTATCCAATCATTGCCTCTCTTTTATTGATTTCTAAGTGTAATTACATATTGAAGAATTTAAGTCCTTGCCCACTGACTCTCCAGCTAACACACTTTTCCTGCTTTGTTATCTACCTCTCACTTCTGTTCATGGAGTTTAGAACTATGAAAGTTTCAAACGTTTAGGATTTGAAATCTATTAAACTTTAGTCATTTTTACTTCTGTATTCTACCTTCTGCTTAGAAAATCTTTGCATAGCCCAGTTTTTAAACTTTCACTTATATTTTCTTTAAAATTTATATCATTTATCTCGGTACATTTAAGTTTTTAATTTCTCAAGAAATTGTTTTAATGTGTAATGAAAGTTTTATTAGACCTAATTATTTTGCTTCCAAGTAAATAACTGGTTGGCCCCCTCTAAAAAAAATATTGAATAATTTTTCCTGTCACCATGGCAATTAAATGGTGCTTTTACTTTACTAAATTCTTACATGCATTTGTGTCTGTCACTAGACTTTCTATTCTGTTCTATTGATCTCTTTAACTGTACCTAGACAAATTTTATACCCTTATGTTTAGCTATTATCTGGTCTTTAATAATGAAGCACAACTTAGATTGTGTTCTATTCGATTTGGGAATAAAGTGATATCTATTGCTTCCTTTTTATTTTCTCATCAACCAGTGAGATTATCTATAAATATAATTTTTTATTTCTGCATTTCTAAGATTTTATTAAATTTTTTTCTAATTTTATAAGATTAAAATCAGAGAACACTTTTAAGATGTCTGCTAAATCTCTACTTTTTTGAATTTTAAAATTTTCTTTGTGGCTAAATATATTAACAATTTTTATAATTTTTGCATAGATAAAAAAGTATTTTCTCTGAAATAAGGATGATATTAATTGTATTCTTTATCTATATTCTTATTTCTAAAATGGGTATATTGAAGTCTCCCACTAAAACAGTGTTTATGTTTTCATCTTCTACTTGAATTTCCAATTGTTCTTATATATTTATTCGTCTCCTGTATTACTTGGTGTATAGAAGGTTTTGATAGCTAAATCTTCCTCAAAAATTGTGCCTTTTATCATGTAATGTCTTATTTTCTAGGTTTAGTGCCATTAACATTAAATTCTACCTTTTTAAAATTAATATTCCAGTTTGGCTTCTTTTTGTTTGCATTTGTCTGGTCTTTTTTTGTTAATTCTTTTATATTCAACCAGTTATTTTAAGGGTGTTTCTTATATAAATCATGTGACTAAGTTGTAATTTTTAACACAACCTGATAGTCTCTCTTTCAATGACAGAACATAGTGCATTTATATTTAGTAAAATAACATATATTTGATCTTATTTCTTCCAACTTTCCTTATGCTTAATATTAATTTCCATTAAAGTTGCCACTTTTTCCCATTCCTTTTTCTCTGGTAAAATCGAATTGCTGTTTCTTCCACTTTTTCTCTTATTAATTTGGAATTTCTTCCATATTTTCCTGTTAGAAACACCTTTCATTTGTCTGTTCTAAATCAGATACATTTGTCTTTACTGATATTTGAAATAAACTTATAAACATGTTCCATTTTTCTCCCTTCTTCCCTCTCATCCCAATAAAATGATATTTTTGGACCACTTCCTGTGCTCTGTCCTGGCCCACTGCTATGAGACCTTTGGAATATTTTTACTCTGCCCCTTCCAGTCCAATTCTTGTCTTTGCTGAGATATTTACTAGATTTTAATACTTTTTGTCCTAGACTACTAGAAGATTTCTTGTGGTAGGTTCCTTCTGTCTTAGAAATCCCAATTTGGCACTTGTGTAATATATTTCCAGATAATTTATTTTCTGTATAATAGATAATTTAAACTGATTCTCACTGTTTTCTGTCTTCTTCAATTTCCTGTATTTTAGTTTCTGATATGGTTCATTTCTTGTTTGATTATAACCTTTCAACAAGATGTTTTCTGAGAATAAACATATTGCAAATAGCATAGGCTCCTTATATAAAGCCAAATGATGCTTCTTAATGGGGGTATGTCATACCTGATTAAATGAGATTTGTGTGGAGTCAGTTGCACAATCAGTTTGTCCAATTGTATCCTGGTTAAAAGAAGGACAGATTCTTACTGAGCCTATACAAACAGTTTTATTACTATTGAACAAATAACACTCAGTAGAATTATTTCTGAATTCTGAAGTCAATGTGAATCAGATATCATTAAAATATTTTATTTCTGTTTAAGAAGCAAAGTTTCCTAAATTGAAAGCTAGTGAAAGCTTAAGAGTTTCCTCATATACCCATTAAAAATGAAACATTAAAAATAACATCAACAATATTTCAAATAAATAACCATAATTTAACTTTCCCTATCAATTAATTTAGTCCTATGTAGATCATTCTTGTTCCACTACATGTTGGGCCAAATAGTCTACCTTTTGCTTTCATCAAGCGTATCTGCTATAGGGCTAACAAAAGTCCTGGAATTCCTAACTCAGTCCACTGGTAAAAATCTAAAACTTGTCTAAGCAAAGAGAGTTCTGAAGCATATATCCAAGTATCTATTCTTTAAAGTGTAAACACTTTAGAGTACCTGGTAGCATTCATCCCATGAGGCCCTGAAACTGCCTTTCTTTGTGTAAAAAAAAAAAAAAAAAAATTAAACTCATCTGTAGCTTATAGAATAGCCTTCAGGCAAATATCTAAGGGAGGCTGACAGTTGTTTAATAATAAAACAATGACAGTGGTCAATTTATTATAGTGACTAAGAATATCAGAATGAAGGAAAGTCATATTCTCTTTTGGGATACAGTACATAACTATTTCATAAGGGTTTGATCAATGTTTTTCCTGAGGATAAGAATAAAGAGTACTGATAAATCTCAGAGGCCTCCCATAAAACATGCAGTTTCTAAAATATTTATATTAATAACATTTTACCTATGCAAACTTAACAAAGAAAGATTGAACATGCATGTCTTCTGATTTGACAATTTTTCCTATATAGCTCTTACAATAGTGTCAAGGTAATTGTAAAATATGGAACATACTGAACATTTATTTCCAGCATTTCTCTTCATAAGGTAAAATAATAAATCTTTGTGATTTTCCAGGGTCCCTTGGGCAACTCACAAGAATAGATTTAGAATAAAAGACAACCTAGTTTTCTAATTTTAGGATCTGAATTTGAGAAGGCAAAATCAAAAGTTGTTGGAGATTTGGTTACTTGACTAAGATAGCATGATGAATCCTGAGAAATAGTACTTGGTTGTTTATTTAATCAAAGTGACAATAAAATATTTTAAAATAACAGCAAACAAGTTAAATTATTGTAAGAAACTAGTTCTTTCACAAGTCAGGAACATTTGTTCTTTATTTTTGCTCTTTTAAAAAATAATAAGGGCCGGGTGCGGTGGCTCACGCCTGTAATCCCAGCACTTTGGGAGGCCAAGATGGGCGGATCAGGAGGTCAGGAGATTGAGACCATCCTGGCTAACATGGTGAAACCCCATCTCTACTAAAAATACAAAAAATTAGCTGGGCGTGGTGGCGGGCGCCTGTAGTCCCAGCTACTCAGGAGGCTGAGGCAGGAGAAAGGCGTGAACCCGGAAGGCGGAGCTTGCAGTGAGCCGAGATTGCGCCACTGCACTCCAGCCTGGGCGACAGAGCAAGATTCCATCTCAAAATAATAATAATAATAATAATTAAGGACATTATAAAACCCAACATAAAGCAGAGAAAATTATTCTGATGAGATATGGAGTCTCTGCTATAGGAATAGATTTCACAGAGGGTGCAGAATAACATTTTATATACCTTACTAAAAGTTCTAAGATTATCATTTTTAACAGAGAGAAAGATGAATTCTAGTTTTTAATTAATATATTTGGCAGTAAAAGATTCACAAGCCCTTTTTCATTCCTTACATTATCTGGTGAATAAACCTATCAAAACCAAACTGCCAAAATTTTAATATATTTTATAGCTTCTTTTCCATTTCAGTTATTATAATTCAAGGCAAATAAAATTCATATCCTTCAAACCCTCTATAACTTGCTATACAGAATCAGATTTTGTCCTTCACTGTGCTCTCATTTTCTGGAACAAACTGACACTAATATAGGAGAAAATCATTCCCCTTTTTCCTTGAAAAACAAAAGCACATACCCACTTGTATTTCCTCTCTATGGCTCCTAGTATAGTCTCAACCAGTCACATTAATTCAACTTTTAACTAAAACTATAATTTCTATTTCACAGCACAAACTAGAAACTAGAAAGTTGACAAATACATCATAATTAGGAATTTTACCAGTACAATAAAACTAATGAATACTGATAACAAAAATTTCTCCTGCTACACATATCACTTTACGCCCTCACAAAGTAGCAAAAATAAAATATTCATTTCTGTATTATTCTGAATATCCTGTTTAGTCTGTTTGTGTTGCTATAACAGAATACCTGAGGCTGGGTAATTTATAAAGAAAAGAGGTATTTTGGCTCATGGTTCTGCAGGCTGTACAGGAAGTGTGGTGCCAGCATCTGCTTCTGGTGAAAGCCTCAGGAAGTTTCCAATCATGGCGGAAGGCGAAGGGGAACCAGCATGTCACATGGTGAGACAGGGAGCAAGAGAGAGGGGGAGCAAACAAGAAAGGAAGAAGACAGGGAGTGGGAGGTGCCAGGCTCTTCTAAACAACCAGTTCTCACATAAAGTCATAGAACAAGAACTCATTACCAGGAGGATGGCACCAAGCCATTCATAAAGGATCCACCCTCATGATTCTAACACCTCCCACCAGGCCCCACCTCCAACAGTGGGGATCACATTTCAACATGAGATTTGAAGGAGACAAAACATCCAAACCATATCATAGCCCAAAGATATACCCACTATATAGTGTATCACAGTTAGATGCGAAATTATATGAACTTGAAATTATGTATAGTAATCAACATTTCAGTACCAATACTATATATGAATTATCTTGGTATCTACTGATTATACTTTAATTAACATAATTTATAAAATTCCAAAGTTTTAAGTTACCTAAGAATTTTGAAAATTATGTTCAAATTGACACACTACAGAACATAACTACTGCTGTAAAAATGTCAGAATTATGAAGACAAATTTACAGTTTTATCATCTTGAGCGTTATATAACTATAATGTTTATTTGATCTGTAAGACAATGTAAGAAGTTTAGAATGTTCATATATTAACTAATCTCCTTATGAGAAACATACTTAAATCATGTTTACAAAGGAAACTAAAAAGATGGCTATGCTATACTGAACGCTAGTAAATCACAGAAAATTATAGAAGCAGTCTAATTCATCCAAACATTCCCTTAATTTTGTGAGCCTGGATTCTTAAAATATTTCTGTGATACAAGTTTCTGTAAGAAGAATTGCTTTCACACATTTAAAGTATTAAAGATTCGGGGTTTTTGTGAATTCTTGGAATACTTGATTTATATAAGGACTTGTTTATCTTGAAAAAGCAATCAGAACAGATCTCCTTTAATTTAATGGACATTAGACCTAATTTTTAAATACTCTCCAGAAGTAAGAAAATGCTGCCCATTCATACACAAGAGGTAAAGGCTTTTTGGAATTACAAACAAATAATTTTTAGCCCAAGTATACAACTTCAGCTGCAGGTCCAAAGTAAGACCAGAAACATAAAAACTCACTAGTCTAGATCGCAAGAGCTGTTGCCCTTCCATAATGGTCACAGAGTATTTTTCAATCGATTAGAGTTCACAAATAGGCAAACAGAAAAAGATTAACAAATCAAATCCTGTCATCTCTCACCCTTCAGAGACTAGATCTCCATCATCCATTGGACAGAGATCACCAGTGGTCAGACCATAAAACACAATTCCCAATCATTGCTGCCACCAATGGGGAATGACTACTGCCCATTCAGGAACCAGAAAAAGCAAAAGCACAAAATCAATATAAAGAGAGAGGAAAAAAATAATAGAGGAACAGAGCATTGGCAAACTTTAGTTGCTGCTGAGGATCTACTTTAAGGGGCAAGAAAAGACGAACTTGAGCATACACAGCCCACGAGCTACACTTATCCAGAAATACAGCACCCTCTTGAGTGCGCTTGGGTGTTCTAGTGATTTCTCTCCAAAACTTAAAAAAGTCATTTTCAAAAAGACAACACCATGATTCTCATTCAATATAAAATGAATGTTTGCCAATAATTTTACCTCATTAAAAAATGAGGAAACCAGTAAAATGTTAACAAAAGGTTCAAAGACGATTAAAGAAGGTAAGTATATACAGGTAATTTGATAAAGGAATGATAAGATAAAATCACTAGGTTAAATACAAAACTTTTTAGTGTCTTAGGGCCATGAGCTGTATCCTTTTGTTCCACTAAACAGAAATTATTTTCATCTCTAGAGCACAAAAATCTAGACATTAACCTCTACCACTGCAGGCTTCTGCCACCACACACTTTAAACAATTCAGTCAATAAAAAGTCAAGCCCAGACCTGCATGGGAAATAGCACTGAACAATCTCTTTTATCAATTTCAAACTTTTGGATAATTTTTGTCCTGACAGAGCTCAAGAGTTTTTACCTGCCTCAGTATGTCTCTATTAATGCACCCTACTGGAATCTGTGAGCCCTTTCTGTGTGTAGATTTAGATCTTCAGAGCTTCCTTCAAATCACAGACATTTCTTGCTATTGTTTAATTACTGACATTCCTTCTCCCGTTCCTCTCTATTTTTGGAATTCCTACAATGAGTATAGTGAGTCTTATGGAGCTAATCTTATCTTCTCCATAATGACTTCCATCTTTTGATATGTTTTCACAAATTTCTATTTCAAAAGTGACCTTCCTTTCCAAATCAGCCAGCGAAATCACTAGGATAATCTTTGATTACAGAAACTCTTATTTGGTTATATTTAAATCTCCTTAAATGCTCTGATTATGTCTTTTGCTTCAGTTGTATTCCATCTCCTCCTGCAACCCTATTTTACCAAGTATGTGTCCTATTTGTACTGACTACTCACCTTTCTTCTACTGAGTCTTTTAGGTAAGTTGTCTTTTTATTATTGTTATTGTTGTTGACTCATTGAAGATAACATCTGACAGTCTCTCTGCCCCTTATGAGAAGGACTCAATCCACACATATTCAGCTGATTTTTGGCCTATAGGGGTTAGAAAATCTAATATATTTATATAAAGTCACTGTCGATCCCTGCAAGGTGTAGTGAGCATACATCTGTATAAAACAAGCTCTTTCCAAGAACCTCTGTCTTCACCCCAAGGGTCTCTAGTGCTGCTTGCCAAGTTCTTACCCAGCGCACAGAGAAGAAAGTCTCCACCAGCCCTCCTCACCAGAATTCCCACCTTGCCTAGGGCCACACTCGGATTTAGCTACCCATCAGTCCCACCAACCATATGGCTCAGCAAAGGCAAATAGGTTGGAGTTGAGAGTGAAAGAAAAGGAAATCACCATCTTTCAGAATGCTCCACCAGGTATAACTTCAAATTCTCCTTACATCTATGTTGTCTGAGGCCCACTGAAACTGCGGCTTGTTAGCCACGTTGTGTGCAGCCATGGGGTAGAAAGGTGGGGGGACCTGAGGTTGGAAGTTGTCTTAAAGTGGGATGTATGTGAAAAGTAAGCTGTTTAACTAGGAAGGCTAAATTATATCTTCATTTAACTTGAAATAAGCAAAGTGATCATGTGCAGACTCCCAACATTGCCAAATCTCGGGCTGGCATTAGCACTGAGTTACCCTGTCTACCAGTTGTTTATCATTCAAATAACTTATTCATCTGGGTTCTTTATTTTTATGTAATTCCTATACTTCAGAGGGTAGCATATTTAAAGAACAGGTCAAGTCTAAAGCAATACTGAGCCACAATTGAGTTCTTGGTGAAGATGGAAAGTTAAAACTCTGGCTTCCAGATCATGGAGACATTGTTTTGCATTTGTTATCTTGAAGTTATTATGTATCATTTTTGTTTTTTCTCATGTTGCAACTGCTGCAACAAAATGGACCTTGGGCTGCCTCCCAATGGGGAGGTCCCCATCCTGGGAAGGCCCAGATGTGGGTGCCTTAGACTAGCATTTCTCTAGGCCTTGTAGCAAACTGTTCTCTTCTCTGACTTTGGTACAGTCTACTTGGGTTGTCTTTCCTCTTCTCACCACAGACTGGTGAAATCCAGACAGCTGATACTAGTGTGAGGGCTTAGGAGCAGACACCAAAGAAGACTCTATGGCTGTTTTGTAGTGGTCATTGTGGTTGTTAGTGTTTGTTATTGTTTGTTTCAACCACTTAGGTCTGGCTACTGTAGACCAAAAATACTGGGTGACATACTGTGGTATACAGCTCAGCTCACAGGGTGACTAAATTTAAGTTTGGAATTAAAACTCTGGCTACTATAGTCTATCTTTACTTGAATCTCTTACATATCACCCTTGCAATCCAATGCAGTTAAGAGACTGATCACTAACGATCCTCTACTTGAGATAATGGGCCCAGCTTTGTAAAGGTGGAGAATGATACATCCTTTAGGATTACATGTGGCAGCTCTAGTAGCCCTAAAAAGGCTTTATGGCTTCATAAAGAAGAGACAAAATTGAAGCACTGTCAATATTGTTAGGACCTTGAAATAGATTCAGATATTCTCCTGCCTTGTTCCTATTTGATGTCCATAATTATTCACAGATGCAATAAGAAAACAGACCTAGGTGAATATTTAAACAGTAGCCTGATTCTGCCTTTTTCCTTTATGAACAGAAAACATTGCTTAAATTTTTATTTTCATAGATTTGCATCTTTAATCTTTTTCCTGTTTATTAAATATAAAAACATAGGAAGAATATTAAATCAACCATGGTCTCAGTAACTAGAGGTAACCTCTATATCATTTTTGCTGAATTGATTTTCAGTCTATAATATGTATAAAATAAGTTCAGTCACATCTATATACTCATTGTATTCAGTGATTTGGACAGTGTATGACTAGTTTTTAATGAATATAATCAAGCTTTTTCAAAATCATATTTGCTTATTTTTTTCTAAAAAGGAAAATAAATATTTTCCTATTATGTAAACTTTCAAATTCAGCATTTTGCTGAATTTTCAGTCTATAATATATATCCAATAAGTTCAGTCATATTATATATACTTATTTTTTTCAGTGATTTGGACAGTGTAGAGCTAGTTTTTAATAGATATAATCTTTTTTCAAATTTGAACTTACATTAATTATAAAGCCCAATAGTAGTATAAGCATTTGTTTAACATCCTTTTACTTTCCAATCCTTGCCAGTACAACCTGAGAATATGCACCTAAAATATAATTGAATTGTTTCTCATCCTGTCCTCTCTTTTATTTTTTATTCTTCTACTTCATTTGGGTACCAATTTATAACAATTACTTGGGCTTCACACTACACACAAGTCTGGCATCAGTGTTCTGTGGTCCTTTAGGACCAATCTAAATTTTATGCCCTTACAAGTAAGCTGCTTTTTTTTTCCTTCTTGCTTGAAAACTTTCAATTGTTTTTATACTGGAAAATCACATTTTCACCAGCATATGCTGCTCCTCATTTTATTCATTTTGCCTGGAACATTTTCCTCAGTCTGTAGTCGGGTATTTTTTCAGATTTCAGAAACTTTTCTTTATATGTCTTTAATTATTAATTTAATTATAATTTCTAGTCTATTCATTCAGTTTCATTCTCAAGGCTGCCAATTATTCATAGCTTCATATTCTATTTCCCATATCTATCATCTTATTTCTTATATTTTTTCCTTCATTATATAAAACATTCTGCCCTAACTGTCCCCAGTGTGGATCTTCATTCCGCAATGGAGTTTAATTTCTATGACTTCTTTTCTTAATATTGGCAGTTTTTTTTATCTTTATCAGCTTCCTTTTTAAATACTCTTTTACAGATAACCTTTTTATCTTTTAATAACTCAAAGCAGGTGCATTCTTAATTTCCTTCTTTTACCATGATGAACTTTCACGCATATTTTTTAACAGTACTTTGTAGCAGTGGGTCCCTACTTTTATGTTATATGGAGCTTTTTAAAGGATTTCATTTGGTGTTTTTTTCCTTGTTTATGCATCTTTGAACAAGGAGAAATTTTAACCACATCTGGTGATTGCCAGATAGGAAAAGCAGTCATCCCTTTACTCCTACCCAGTGTCCCTGTCTCAAGCCTTTGACTGAATATGGATGAACATAGCCCCTCTAGATGTTTGTCTGAGAGACTTCATGAGACCTGGTCTTAATGTCAGACCGTTACTAGAAATTGCATTGATCTCTAGATAACGATCCTATACACGTCTTTTTATGTGCACCCAGAGTATTTCTCTAGATAGATAAATAGATAGATCTATAGATAGTTCTGTATATCAATATAGCTATATTAATATTGGTATATCTATAGATCTAGGTAGATAGATATGTGACAGATAGAATCTAGATCTATCTGTGTGTCTGTGCATCTATGTGTAAGTATAAAAAACCTGTATATTGAACAAGCATGATTTATGATGTACTAAAAAGACAACAGTCCCACACTATTCCTTTGGTTTGGTGTTTTGTTTTTTCCTATTTAATGTAAACTTTTAAATTGAAATATAATATACAGAGAAAAGTTTACAAATCTTAAATATGCACCTTGAATTTTTACGTAGTATCCTTGTACCCAACAATAAGATGAAAACTAAAACATTATCAGCACTTCAGCCACCCTCTTTGTGCCTCTTTCCAATAATTTATTGTTCTCAAAAGTAATTACTACTCTGCCTTATATCACCACAGATTAGTTTTACCTATTTTTGAACGTTATATAAATGGAATTATATTTTATGTATCCTTTTGTGTCTAGCTTCCTTTGTTCCAGATTATGTTTTTGAGATCCGTTCATGTTATAAACGGCCAGAAATGTTCATTCTCATTGCTCTATAGTATTTCACTCTATGAATATGTCACAATTTATTTACCTTTCTTCCTGTTGGTATACATTTGGTTTGTGTTCAGTTTGGAGCTATAAACGTGTCTTTTGGCGCATATATACTGAGTTTTAAAGTATGTTTATATACAACTCTGGCAGCTTTTGCCAAACAGTTTTCTAAGCAGTGCATGAAAGCTTCACTTGCTCCAAATCCGAACTTTTAGTATTGTCAATTTTTTAAAATGTATCCATTCTTGTAGGTGTCTAGTGATATTTTCCTGTTTCACGTGCTTATTGGCCTTTTAAATATCCTCTTCTGTGAAGTGTCTGTTCAAGGACTTTCCTATTTTTTATTAGGTTGTTTGTCTTTTTCTCATTGATTTGTAGAAGTTCTTTATATATTATGGGCATTAATCCGTCATCAGATATATGTATTGCAAAATACCTTCTTCTACTCTATGGCTTACCTTTCCATTCTCTTACTAATTACATTTCTACAGCAATAAAGAGCAGTCTCCTCTACCTCATTTATTTCTTTATATAAGTATGGATGCATGAGTTTTTATCTTATTCTATATGGGTTATAATCCATTATTCTCATTATATATTTTGTTGGTTAAAGTCCCTTAGATTTGTCCATTGGGAGATCCTTGTGGCATATCCTTGTCTTTTTCATGCTTCATTTGCTTTTAGTGCCATAAGATGTTTCATGCTTTCTGTATTTTTCCTGCTCTAGACCTGAACACAATGATTTCTCCAAAGAGCCCTGTTCCATTTGTAATGGATAATGGTACTTAGAAACCAAGATCTAGGTCCTTGCTGTGCTCATTGCTACTAGGGAATAATTGGCTCTAGGCCCTCACTAAATACATAGCTAAATAATGTGTGTGTGTGTGTGTGTGTGTGTACTCACACATCTAAATTTATTTCTGTATCTGTCCAACTGTGTGTACACATATATTTAAAATCATAAACTCATATTACTCTCTGATATCTTGGTTTGCAATCACTTTAGCTTCCTCAGATATGCCTGTGACACAGTCCTCCCTGTCTTCCAGCTACAAAGAACACATTTCAAACACCTTGTGCAGTTCCCTTGAACCTCCCTCTCTAGATGCAGGGTTAGAAGGTGACAGCCCCCACCCCCCGCGACCCACCCCAAATGGGAAAGGAACTTATACCTGTCTCACAGTCCAATTCAGAGAAAACTCCTCACTAACTTCTTTGCAAAATCCTCTCTGAGGAGCCCAGAAGCTTGAAACACCTTCTTGGTTCCATTTGCCTTGTAAACCTGCCTCTCACTCTTCCTATCTGGCATACTGGTACTCAAACACTGAGGCACAAAAAGCGCCCCAAGCTAATAGTTTACATGCATTCTATAGATTTTCTCCAGGTTCTGACTAGGGAAAAGGAATAGCTTTCAACACATTAGAAAGTGATCGTGGGGCAGTATGGGGAAGACTTTTCTAAATTCTAGCAGTTAGTTAAGATAGGACACAGCAAAAGGGATGGGTGGTTACCTTTTCCCACTATTTCCTTGTTGGTAATACGTAGATCAAGGTTCCTGATCAACCACATGACAGTTAGAAGCAATTCCCCAAGATGTTGCTAAGTCAAAAAAGTATTTTTACATTTTCCATGACACTATGCCTCTGCAACTCCATGTACTTTTGTGAGTATCTTAATGCAAAGGTTAGAGGGTGAATCAGATGTCACTGGTTGGTCATCACCACACATTAGAAATCTTTGTATGTGTTTTAGATTTTGTAAGGTTGTTTTAAGTTATTTTTAGTAGAATCTTTAATGTGGAAGAGCATTAAAAGAAGATGAAAATACATCAAAAGTATGCATAAATTTTGGTCTGTCCTGGGTAATTTGATCAAACAAAATGTATAGCTGCTCTAATTTCTATAAATGATTTCCTATAACTTTAAAAATTAAAATAATAGCCAGTTGACTCAATACTGCACCAGAATTTTGGGGATAGGTTTCAATGAGTATAGGCAGCTAGTTCTGGATGGAGTGTTTGGGACTATCAGGATTTGTAGAATCTCTGCTTGCTGGGACAGCTTACCAACCTTTGGAGGGGATTTTTCTGAGGGTTGTAACTGAAATAGCCCATTTCCATTCGAGCGCTAAGTAGGGTGGCAAACAAGCTTACCAGTAATAATCACAAAGACCAATAGTGATAGAAAAAAGTAAGTCTAATCTTCATCTCTCTTTAATAGACTGAGTTACTAAAGAATGAGTTTGAACTCCAATAAGTCTGATCTTCATCTCTCTTTAATAGACTGAGTTACTAAAGAGTGAGTTCAAACTCCAATAAGTCTGATCTTCATCTCTCTTTAATAGACTGAGTTACTAAAGAGTGAGTTCAAACTCCAATCTCCTTAATTTTTACCTTGATAGACTTTCTGTTCTCCCCTTTCAGTATTGTCGGTACCACATTATTTTTATCACCAATATGATGGATAAAGGGAACACTTTTCCTGACTTGAATACAGACAGGGTATATATCATGTTTCTAACTGTGTTCTTACTTGTGCAGAAGAGCAGGGCTAAAAAGCTAGAAGCCCAAAAGAGAGTTGCTAACACTTTGATGACCTGTTTACTTTCTCATGTCATCAATTATCATGGACAGTAAATCAATTGTTCTGATTGGTTTCCTACAGCACGGCATAGAATGCATTTCTTTATATATTTAGATACTGTCATTGATCATTACTCTTTAATTAGTATTGTATGGCCAGTCTCCAGCACCCAGTAAATTAGCAATGCTTCGAAAGTCAACTAGAATTCAATCTTCCTCTGTCTGTTGTTTTAAATTATTAATTCACTTACTTAACTAACATCACTAACATTTACTAACCTTTAAGCACTGTTCTAGGCTTTGTGGTCATTACATCATAATCATTCATCATCACTTTCATGATAAAATAGGAACGAATATTGTTTGAGCTAGTGTTTTACTAAATGCTGCATAAAAAGCACAATAAAATGGCATAGAGATCTACACTGGGAGGCTGAGGCTGGTGAAATGCTTAAGCCCAGGAGTTCTAGACCAGCCTGGGCAACATAATGAAACCCCATCTCTACCAACAAAATAAAAATAAAAAAAAATAAGTTGCCAGGTGTGGTGGCGCACACCTGTAGTCCCAGCTACTTGGGAGCCTGAGGCACGAGAATCACTTGAACCTGGCAGGTGGAGATTGCAGTGAGCTGAGATCACGCCACTGCACTCCAACCTGGGGGACAGAGTACGACCCTGCCTCAAAAAAAAAAAAAAAAAAAAAAGGTAAAGAAAAGGCATACAGACCTAAAAGTAGGGATAAGTGCTTCCATTTGAAAATACTAAGAAAGTTTTCATAGAGGACTAAGAGAACTTAGTATCCAAGCTTCTTTGTAAAAGTAAGTAGGTTTTAAACAGATAACATTGGAGGGTGAAGGAAGAATATTCCTAATAAATGAGATAGCATGGAAAAGTATACAAATATCCAAACAGTGACAAACAGCACAATATGACTAAGGTGTGTGGTGTACTTAAAGACAGATTTCTTCTTTATCAAAAGAAACAGTTTCGGAAATGTAGATTTGAAATAAGTCAGAGATTGCTCAGAATGACAACCTAAAAGACTTGGATTTTCCTTAGCAATCTTTCCAGTAAATAAAATAAACTTCGACATTTTATTTACTTAAAAAATTCCAACTGAAGATTTGCCAGTTTTTTCTGTCTGAATTTCTTATCTAAAGCAAAAAATTCAAAATCTACATATTTAATGTGTTACAGTATCAATCAGGTGATTTTTAAAAATAAATTGAAATTATTTTACTTTATTGCTTACATTATGTGTTAGACAGCGACACCTCATGGTAAAATATTATTTTACAGCCAAGTGTATGATCGAGGAAGAACACAGACGAAAGCCCGCGAATGGCGTCAGAAGAGTTTTCTCAGCATAGAGATTGCCCAGGATTATAGCAAGGGGTGTGATGGACTTAGCTAAGGGCAGTAAAAGAGATGGCAGGAGATTGGGAGGGACCCAACATTTCCTGAGGGAATTACTAAGTTCCAACACAGCATCAGTATTCGGAACTCTCCATGCCCATGTTCCCTGCATCTGCCAGACAATGACAAGCTCAAAATATTTCTAAGAGTAGCGTAAGAGTGAAAAATGCACATCTAGAATTTGGTTCCTGCAGGTCCCTGGGTATTAATGCATGCATACCAACAAGATAAACTCCAAATGTCTAAATGTTTGGACACCACCCATAAATGATGAAAATTTATAAGAACTGTCTTACATATATTCTTGAAGTCTTTCAAAAAACAGAGGTAATATGGCACAGTGTTATAAAAACACTTTCATTCCCATGAGGCTACTGTTCTGGTCACCACCAGTTCAAAGGCCACTGCATCATCTGTCTACAGATGGTCGTGGCTTTGTGCTAGAGGTATCTTCTCTTTTGATTACATCTTGAGAATAGAGTAGGTAATAATCCGGGCTAGGATAGTGGGGACAAACTGATTCTATTGACAAGGTTGAGTCTCTCTCATGCTCACACAACAACTCCAATAATGTTCAAAGCATACATTCTCTTGCCCACCAACCATCTACAATTGGCAAACTCAGAAAGAAAATGTTCAGTTGTTTCAATGAAAAGGGAACTTATTTCTCATTTAGGCTCTAGCTGTGTTTAATATGAAGACCTGTCTTCACTCTACATGACTGGAACTCCAACCTTTAGTGCAATGTATCTTGGACTTGAGGAGAAAACATGAAAGTCAATGCAAAACATCTCTGTCATTTAGTCTTCCACTCACATTTTCAAGTACTACTAGTACTAATAACCCTGTTTGCTTACATGATTCTAACTGGGTACATTTCACTTCAACTTTTAGCTCAGCATTGTAATTTTAGCTCTTCTTCGTGGATCAGACCACATAACAACTCCGAATCATGTTTTTATTATGACAAAAGTTTGTGGATAAAATTCACTTTGCTAAATGACATTAATTTAACACGATGTATTGAATATCTGCTATGTGCCCATTACAGAACTAGGTTCAAGGCAAAGGCCAACAGAAAATAAGCATACTTAGTTTCCAACATCAAATGTGTGTTTTTCCTCTACATTTGCATCCAAAGAAAATACTCTTATGCACATCAGGTTTAATCTCTTAGCTTGACTTACGCTAAATTTATATTATATAGAGACTAAAATATGCTTTCAAAATTTTCAATTTCTATTCTTGTCTGTTTTGTAATCTCCCAAGAACATCTGGAAGCTGGGGAAAACATCAGAGCAAGTGAAGAATGTTCAAATATACAGGGACCATCCAGAGACATGTGGCCTGCACGTTGATGAGCAATGTGAACTGAATTACTGTTGTATCTGGAGGAATTCCATAAAAGAGAGTAATCAGTCTATTTGGATCCCAACTGCCTTTTCCTGTCCCCAAAGGGCGGGAACTAGTGTGGGTGGAAAAACCCAATGCATCCCAAGGCAGTCCTGCCTTCTAAAGCGCCCGCCAGGACAGGCTCCTGGTGGGTTGTAAGGAGAACGGCAGGAAGAAGTGCTCCCAGGAAGCTGCCTAGCCACCGCCACCACCACAGGGTTCCATCCAACTGGTAGGAAACATGCCCTCTTGGCAAGACATATCCTAAAGAGACTGATTCTCCTTCTGTCTCTCCTGTTTTCTCCACTTCTAGCAGAACAATGTTCCCAGTGAGAATCATGAAAAGATAGTGATGTCTTTTTCTCCATAAGTTTGTTTATTTCCTTTAGCATGAATCCAAGCCCAGTTTAATTCTCTAAAACCACAGCTGGTCAACATCCCTCATAAAATTAAATAATAAACAGCTATATGAAGTGCATACTGCATGACTGTCACACATCTACAAGAACTTTTCAAACTTTCTTGGCCACTTTGTGGTGTGTGAAATATCTATAAGCAACAGATAGTGTAATATTTTCTGAACTCAATCTGAAGTTTTCTGTTATTTGATTGATGATTTTAGACCATTCATATCTTACATGAAAAGAGATGCACATGCCTTGCCATTTCATCTGATTTTAGGTTTACTATTCCTTATTCTTTATTGTTATTTCCTCTTTTCTATTTTCTTACGTTGGCTGACTTGGTCACATTTTTTTCATTCCCTTGCCTTCATCACCCCTCCACCTCCATCTCTACCTCCACTAATTGGAAACTTAAGCTGTGTTTATTAATCTTGCTGATAATTGGATCTGTATTGCTCTATTAATGTGTCTAAATTAAAATAATATAATTATGCCCTGCCACCTGAATATTTTGCTTTATCACTCCCTTCCCTGCCATGCTCCCTTCTAAGCCCACAGTTTTGCTGAACTAGGAATTGTCCTGAGAACTTTCTTCCACAATGGCTCAGCAGATCTCCATTTTAAACCGGCAGTCTGCAAACTCAGCCCTGAGGACACAGCCAGCCCGCTTCCAGGCATCTCCTGCGAGCTGCTCCCAGGAAAGAACAGCAAAGCAACCTGGTCCAGTGTAGACATGCTGTTCAAATCATCTGTGGTTGAATGACTATTTTTTTAATTTAATCTTTTGCAGACATTTTTGGTAAAACATTATATAAATGAATTACTAGAAAAAAAGAAATACAAAAGTAAAAACATATGAAATATAAGCCCCAATCTTTTGTTATTAGATTCAATACACATAGAAATAAATTTTAATACATACAATCAAAACAAACAGCATGGGATAAAATAAAAGAATCCCAAAACCATATGAATGATTCATTGAAAGTATGTTTACAGATTAATATAGAAAATGCTTATTATACTAGCCGCTTTTACTCATTGTGCAATGAAAACAAAAAGTTATGAAAGAAATAATGGTCTCTGTGGTAAGTACTGTGTAGATACTTTGTACAAACACTATACATATCAACATTTAAGGTTTCTAATGTTACAAAGGAACTTGTTTCTTGCTTATTAACTTATCTAAATCAAATTGAATTGGCAACAATACTGCTTACAGGGCATGACAGGTATCTAGTTTCTATGTTTTCTTTTAATAAAACTGATAGTAGAGAAACAAGTCTTAACCAGAGGTATGTTGGCAAGGACAGAATAAGATATTTTAAAGGCATCTGAGCAAGATCAGAATATTCATTGTCAACTTTTATCTAAAATGAAGCAAGTGACACTACATTTGCAAAACTTAACTTCTATCCTTGTTAATCTTTTGTCCTTATTCAATAAAAGAATCCTTATTCTTTTATCCTTATCAGTAGCAACTCACAACAATTTATCCTGTAAAGTTGTAGTTAAATTTGTGTTATTTTAATGAAAGCAGTGGATTTTGGATTTTATACACTTTTAGATTTGAGTTTACCAATTAATTTTAAAATATCACCTGCTGTAAATAACTTGGTTCTACTGTGCCTGCCGAATTCCAAACCCTGAATTGGTCTAGATACTCTTCAGGGAGACAAGTCACCTGACCACATGCTTGGATGTCATGGCAATGACAAAAAAAAATTCTGTAAGTTTCTAAATGCCTACTCTCAACCTCAATACAAACAGTTCACAGACCACTATTGGTCCACAGATCGGACTTCAAATAATAGTGACCTAGAAGGCATTGCTGGAGGCTGGAAGGAAACTCTGGTTTTCCTCCTTTGAGGGTTAGAGTGAGACTGGAAAGATTGTCACCACCTGGGGAGCTTTGGTAAAAGATAAATCCCAGGGGCTCTTACCTGTGTTTTCCCTGCTGGAAGCTTTTCACTGGTGAATCCATCTGTCTGTGGTGACTTCTACATACACATTCTAGAGCAGCACTGTCCAACAGAACATTCTGTGATGGTGGGAATGAGCTAGACCTGTGCAATCCAATTCGATAGCCACTTGCCACGAATGGCTACCGGGCACTTGAAATGTGGCTAGTGCAACTGAGGAACTGGAATTTTTATTTTATCTTAATTGATTTTAATTTAAATGGCCACAGCTGGCCAGGGACTACTGTATTGGACAGGACAGCCTAGAAGCTTTTGTCTGGCTGGGACACCATATGGGAAGGGCCCCATCTGGTAAGCAGAGGCTGGGAGTCTGGGGCTGACATGGCAGAGTGCAGCCTGCTTTGCCGGGAGCTCCAGGGCACAAGAGGTTCCAAGCAGCTAAGAGGAAAAGGGAACTGCCATCCCAGATGGGCTCTGGTCAGCTCTCTACATGTCTTTTATCTCTCTGCAGACTTATGGCATCAGGAGCTTTGAATTGTCTCATCTCCAAGACTCTGAAGGTCCTTACAACACTAGCAATCCCCTTCATGCCTTAGGGGATCTCTACATGATGTCCTGCTCAGATGATGGAAAGCCAGCCCCCTTCCTCTTGCAAACTGGCTTCTTGCACAGTCACCTGGCCTTAGACTAGAACCATGGCTCTCAAATTTCAGGGAAAGTATGATCAAGCAGTTCATCAGGAAGCACAAATGCCACATGGACAGGGCAATTCTTTTTCAAGAAGACCCACAGACTTCTCCTGCCTAGGCTCTGAAGAAGCCACAAAAATCTGTCCTTCCACTAGGCTTTCAGGAGAGATGAGCCGTCTCCATTTCCATCAGTCACTCAGCTCTTCCCCAACACCACAGACAACTGGCCGCCTTGGAGGCTCTTCCAAGTTTCCTGTAGCAGACTCTTTAGTTGTTATAATGTTCCAGAAACTGAAGTGGGAATGGAAGCTATCAAGTTTTCTGTACTCCAAAAATTGTCTCCAGCACATTCCCTGAGAAAGTGTTGCATCCTTGCCCTGAACACCTTCCAACAGAATGACTAAGGAATACTCAATGCTAGACCATTCCAGCCTGTTCACCCACCAAGAGGTGGAACTTGTCTGAAGCTACAGGACCACAATTGACCATACCCTCCCCTCCTTCTTTGCTTTATCTTTTTGGAACATATTCTGTTTATTATTAACATTTTTAAACTATGAGACTTAAAGATAATCTGTTCTAAGCCCCTAATCTTGTACATGACTAAAAAAAATCACAAGGACAAATAGAATGCATGCACACCATCACTCTCCTATCCTCTACCCACAGCAGAGATCACTAATCAATTAAAGCAATCTTTTCTACTGCACACAGGTGTGGCCTTAAAATCCTTCTGGACAGAACGCTTCAGGCAGACTTTTCATATTTAATCATAAACATAAATGACATCAAACATTAAACCCATTTGTCAATCCAGTGTTAAATGATGCTAAAGTAGTTTGTGGTAAAACTGGGCCCATGTCTCCTCTCTCTCAGCTTATTGACCTTTCTGCTACATCACAATGTTGTACTTATGTTGAAATGTCACACTTTACATCTTCTGCAAATATTCCCTCTAGGTTTAACTTTTCCAACAAAATATCTCATCATGTTTTTGTCTTTTCATTTTTGTTCTTGAGTAAGTAATACATTTACTTGTTTCAAACTCAAAGCAATGTAAAGGTATACTCGGGGAAGTCATGCTACCACCCAAGTCTCCATCCACTTCATTCCTCCACTTTTATTAGTTTATTGTTTATCCTTCCAAGGTTTCTTTATGCAAATACATGCAAATCAAATATATATTCTCATTTTCTGTGCTGGCCATACACAAAATGTAGCATATTATATATACTTGTTGTACCTTTCTTTTTTTAACTTAACAATATAACCTAGAAATGGATTTTTCTCACTTTTTCGTAGGTTTATAATCATACTACTTTTGACATTTAGGTCATTTGAATAAGATTCAATCTATAAGACCTGCCTTCTTAAACCCTGTTTTGGTCCTCTCTGAGATTCGATGCCACTATTTGGCCAGTTAAAACTAAGCGGCCCTTTTTGCTTAAGTTTAATTATCCATGATCGATCTTCTTCAAAATGTAGGTGAAGTTTCTCTACTATCCAGCACATGATATGGCCAATGTTTTTATTAAGAAAATAAATTTTATTAAAGCCACTACATGAAATATTTCTTTTGATGGACACTAAAATAATAAGCATACATAAAGTATCATAATAGCTTAATAATAATTCAGTATTTTGGAGTTGCCAAGTATAAAACTGGAGGCTTCAGAATTAATTTTAAGGATTGAGCCCTGGTTATTAGCAGACACATGTCTGCTTTAAAACTTTGTCCTTTTCACTATTAGAAAGCCAAAGGCTGCTTTGGCTCTTAGAGCCTTAGTAGAGCCTCAGAATTGACCCATTAGGCTAGTCTCTGATTAAATGGACCCCAAAGTGTTAGCCTGAACTCTTTTGTTAATTGCCTTGAGTGAGTTTGCCTAATCAAAGGAACGTGTGAAACCTCTGATCTGTATGGCAGCCTTAAGATTTCTGATCTTCATTATCTTCTATAAAAGTACATCACTTTTGTATTTTTCAGTTCCTTTTCAATCCCCTGATAAGAATGACCTGTTAATAGATAAACTTAGGCACATTAAAATTTTAACAAGTTTATTTGAGCATTCAGCAATTCATGAACCCAGCAGTCTCAGACTACAAGTGGTTCAGCACTCCACTGAGAGGGTGCAAGGGGAAAACTTGTATAAGGTGTTTGTGGAAGCAAGACAAAGAAAATATCTGATTGATTTAGGCTGAAAATCTCTAGTTACAGGTTGGTTAGCAATTTCTGATTGGTTAAACTAAAGTTTTATTTTAGTATTTAGGTTGAGTTAGGTTTTGGTTTGCTTACAAAGGCACTGGAGCCATCTCAGCCTAGTGGACTTGAAATCAATTATTATAATAGATCCCCTACCTAAGAAAGCCAGCATCCCTAAAGGAAAATAAATACTGAGGACTTTATGCAAAGCAAAGAAATGGATGTAAAGACGTGGATCCTCATTGCCCTCACAATACTTCTTTTCCTTGAAAAAAGGCTGAGAATGGATAAAGATAAATTTAGGCACAGTAAGGACAAAGATAAAGAATAGCAAGAACTTGTAGCTTGGATTATTGATGCCAGAGAAGTGGAGACCCCATGTGGAGAATATTTTTACCCGTTTCCCACCACTGCTTCCCGGACAGAGATAATCTGGGACCCCTGTGAGTATAGCCCAGCTGGCAACCTTGCCATATTTCCATCCTGCAAGGCTTCATTCAGGACAGCGCAGGAACTTATAGGTCAGTCTAAACACTAAACAAGAACATTAGCCTTAACAACACAAATTAGTAATTCATTTCTTCCTTATGTAGCTGAGCACTTAATGATCCAAATCTTGGCGACTGAGTTGGGTAATAGTTCATTGCTGGATGACCCATCTTGACTTTCAAAGTTGCTATTGTTTTTACATTATCCTCAAGTGTTATCATTAAGTTGTGAGCAAGACTAATTTTCTTAATCATTCCCAATCTCCCCAACCATTTTTCACTGAATAATATCATCAACAGGCTGCACAAATTGGACATCTGAGATTTAGTTGAATTAGTAACACCTAAAAGATCATTTATGGCTGCAGCAATAAGCCTCCCATTTCATCTAATTAGAGAGCAAGATTATTTCCCTAAATCCCCACTAATATTTTGAGTTGACAAACAATGAAGCAATCCTGATAAAGTGAATAAATGAGTTTCATAAAGCCACTGCTTTTTTGTTCCTTCTTCAATAAACTGAACACTACACCCCAAGCACAAGTTTAAGAGCCAAGAACAAAATATATAAGCACCGGTCACAACAGTTATTAGGCAATATACTCCACAGAAACTGTCCTGAATCTTCAGAAGCATATTAACTTTGGGGCAACAATCCACCAGGAACATTGCTACGGCTTTTATGCTTAAATTCTTAAACATGCAGGAACAGAGACAAATGTTGCTTGGTCCCTTTATCATGAGAGTACTTAAGTATTTACTAAAGCTAACGTCTCCCAATAAATTACAGTTCATTCCCCAAAGATGGTTATTTCTCAAAAAAGCTATGAAGCGTTTAAAAAGAATGGTCAATAAGATTTCATGGAGAAATGGCAGTCTAGCTAAGCCTGCTCTAGCTTGGTATATGACAACTTTTTTCATCTGAGACAATGTCTATTTTGAACACATGTGTGATATGAAAATAAACGGAAAATTATGAACGCAATGTTAGTGAGTGTGTTATATAGCAAACAAGATGGGAAATAATATAGGAAATGCACAGAACAGGACATAGAGAATGAAAGCAATAATTAAATAAAAAGGAGAGAGGAAAAATGAACAGAAAGAAGACAGAAATGAAGAGAAAGTTTAAAGGGCAAGAGAAACCCTGCCGAGTCTGGCTTGACAAGTGGTATATGATCATTTACATAATCCATGAGAAAATTTTGGTAGGTCAGGACTTAGAGTGGTTGCCTAGGTTTCCTGTGAACATACCTGGCTTTGTCCCAAAGCTATTAATGCACGGTGACCCTGGCATGATCACCTGCCCTGGGACAACTCATTCCATACTTTGGCTTACTTGGCAACACCATTGTGGAAGGAAAAGGGAGAGGCTGTATTAAGGAAGCAGCAAGAAAAAGGGGTATCCAGTGGAATACCAGGAAATTCTGCGTTCCTTTTCCCTCAATGGTAGTTCAGGTAGCGTCCCTTAACATTTGTCCTCAGCAAAATTAAATGTGTCACCCACTTCGCCAGGTACAATGGAAGTTGTACAATGGGCAGAATTTGAAAGTTGCTTTGTGGCAACTAATACATATCTAGTCATTTGTTTTAAAGTTGATTACTCAGTTTGAGATGTGCAAACTTACTTTTCCTAGAAATCCAGGAAAACAACTAAACCCCTTGACTTCCTGAGGATCAGTTGCACAGCTTAAGGCAAATAAATGTCAGCAAAGCAAAGGGGGTCTGACTGTTGTTTTTCCTCTCTCCATAAGTGCAAATAGCACCCTAGCAGGAGTCGGGAGAGCCATTTATTTTTTAACTAACAAAGGTGACAGCAATTAAGTAGCTGAGTCAGGACCTGAGCTTCATTGTGTCCCACACTTGTTCCCTGACTTCTATACCACACACCAGTCAGTCAGTTTGTACTCTAATTACCCAACATACATTTTTCAACCATGACAGATATCTGTGAAGTGTTGAGATGCTAAAGAAAAGGTCAAGAGGTCCCACCTTCTGCAGGTGGGCTGCTTTTCTTGTGTGGAGCCATTGGAGCCCCTCACTTAGTGGAACTGAGAATGCTTTTAACAGCTAACATTTAGTAAGCTGTTAACTATGTGCCAAGCAATGTACTGCATTGCATATGAATCAACTCATCTATTACACACAACTGCTCCCAGAAGTAATTGTCTCCATTTTACAGGTGAGGCAAACAGCACGGAATGGTTAAGCGGTCCAAGGTCTCATCACACAAGGGTCGGGGGTACTGCAATGTAAATTGTGGCTCCCAACTGTGCCTTCCTCCACCGTAACAAGCCACCATTTACTTGATTCTCTCTCTTGTTTTTAAGCCTGCTGATATTTTTTATTTAAGGTCATGGCCTCCAAATCCTTGTTTTTTTAAAAAAAGTTTTAATATGTTTTATCGTCATCATATTCTATTTTTGTAATATTTTCCAAATGTTACTGTGCCTTTTCAGTATCTTATTTTACTTTCTTTAAAAAAGAAATTACCCACAAAGTACATTATCTCTCTCCTTCCTACCACTACCTGTGCAAACTTAATCCCAGAGACAACCAGGGTTGAGTGTGCATATGTGTGTGTGTGCATGCCTCACTATGAATTTATTGTATTGCCTTAATGCATTATATGTATATTTTTTTAAATACATACACACATACCTTTTTAATATAAAGGGATCATACCCGACACATTTCTGTAACTTGCTATTTTCAATAAACAATAGGTTGAAGCTCTTTTAATGCCTATGCATATAGATATAAATCTTTCTTCTAACAGATGCAAATAGTCAAATATTACCTTATCTGAGGCTGCCCCTGACCATTCTATATAAAATAGCACCCCACCCATTCTCATCTCTTACCTTGCTTTATTTTATTCTCAGCTTTTATCAACCAGAGCATACCTGTTTATTGTCTATCTCCCTCCACTAAAAGCTAAGCTTTATGAGAATAAGAATTTTTTTTACTCCTACATTCCCGGCCCATAAAGCAATGCTGGCACCTGGGGGTACTTGAGACACATTTTTTGTGAGATTACCCTTAAAAAGACTATCAGTTTACATAATCACATAGTGTGTGTGTGCCTGTTGACCTGGATCCTTGTTAACCTTGAATATTATAAGTCCGTTAATTTTTTTGTTAATCCAGTATTTCATTCCCTGAGAACCTCTTGAGTAAATTACCTGTCCAGATACCTTATCCCTTTGGCAATTGGGTTTGTTTTCTTCTTAACTATTTGTAAGAATTCTTTATATGTTCAGGGCACTGATTCTTTTGTATCTCACATGCTGAAAATATTTTGTCCTATTCTGTCACTTGCGTGTCACTGGTTAGGCATAGAAGTTCAGGCTGATCCTCAGTGAGCCTTGCTCCTTGGTGACGACCAGAAGTTTTATGGATTTAACATCACCTCAAACTGTCTTGTTCCAAATGAGCTGGACCATGCAGAACTATCCCAGTCTACAGCTACTATGCACTGAACCCTACTCAGAATAAAGAAGATTCCCAGGAGATTCCCAGGGCTGTGCTTCCTCTAAAGCCTGGCAAGATAACACAGTGGAGAATTAGCTGTTGTCCAGCTTTCATCAAAAGCCAAGATAAGACAGTTAAGGAATACTGTTGCAGGAACACTGCCCACCCAGACCTTCATATATTCTATACAGCCTAATTCTCTGAAAGCCTAATTCTGGCCTTGGTTCTCTTGGAGTCACACTAACTGATCTCTACTTACCCAACATGCTAGTTAACAGATAGTCCCTCTGGAAGTGCACTGAGACTTCTTTACTACCATGAGAACAGTATGGGGGAAACTGCCGCCAAGATTCAATTATCTCCTACCAGGTCGCTCCCACAAAACGTGGGAATTGTGGGAGCTGCAATTCAAGATGAGATTTGGGTGAGAACACAGCCAAATCATATCATTCCACCCTGGCCCCTCCCAAATCTCATGTCCTCACATTTCAAAACCAATCATGCCTTCCCAACAGTCCCCCAAAGGCTTAACTCATTTCAGCATTAACTCAGAAGTCTGCAGTCCAAAGTCTCATCCTAGACAAAGCAAGTCCCTTCCACCTATGAGCCTGTAAAATCAAAAGCAAGTTAGTTACTTCCTAGATACAACGGAGTTACAGGCATTGGGTAAATACACCCTTCCAAATGGGAAAAATTGGCCAAAACAAAGCGGCTAAAGGCCCCAGGCAAGTCCAAAATCCAACGGGCCATTCAAATCTTAAAGTTCCAAAGTGATCTCCTTTGACTCCATGTCTCACATCCAGGTCACACTGATAGAAGAGGTGGGTTCCCATGGTCTTGGGCAGCTCTTCCCCTGTGGCTTTGCATGGTACATCCTCCCTCCCACCTGCTTTCCTGAGCTAGTGTTGAGTGTCTGCGGCTTTTCCAGGAGCATGGTGCAAGCTGTCAGTGGATCTACCATTCTGGTGTCTGGAGGATGATGGCCCTCTTATCACAGCTCGGCTAGGCAGTGCCCCAGTGAAGACTGTGTGAAGCCTTCAACCCCACATTTCCCTTCCACAATCCCCTAGCAGAGGTTCTCCATAAGGGCGCTACCCCTTCACCAAACTTCTGACTGGACATCCAAGCATTTCCATACATCCTCTGAAATCTAGGCGGAGGTTCCCAAACCTCAATTCTTGACTTCTGTGCACCCACAGGCTCAACACTACATGGAAGCTGCCAAGGCTTGGGGCTTGCACCTTCTGAAGCCATGGCCCAAGCTGTACCTTGGCCTCTTTTAGCCATGACTTCAGCAGCTGGGACACACGGCACCAAGTTCCTAGGCTGCACACAGCAGGGGGCCCTGGGCCTGGCCCATAAAACCATTTTTCCCTCCTAGACCTCTGGGCCTGTAATGGGTGGGGCTGCCACAAAGGTCTCTGACTTGCCCTGGAGACATTTTTCCCATTTTCTTGCTGACTGACATATGGCTTCTTGTTACTTATGCAAATTTCTGCAGCTGGCTTGAATTTCTCCTCAGAAAATTGGTTTTTCTCTTCTATCTCACTGTCAGGCTGCAATTTCCCAAATTTTTATGCTGTTCCCTTTTTAAAACTGAAGGCTTTTAACAACACCCAAATCACCTCTTGAATGCTTTGCTGCTTAGAAATTTCTTCTGCCTGATACCTTAAATAATCTCCCTGAAGTTCAAAGTTCCACAAATCTCTAGGGCAGAGGCAAAATGCTGCCAGTCTCTTTGTTAAAACATAGCAAAAGTCACCTTTACTCTAGTTCCCAACAAGTTCCTCATCTCCATCTGAGACCACCTCAGCCTGGATTTCATTGTCCATATTATTATCAGCATTTTCATCAAAGCCATTCAACAAGTCTTTAGGAAGTTCCAAATGTTCCCACATCTTCCTGTCTTCTTTTGAGACCTCCAAACTGTTCCAACCTCTGCCTGTTACCCCGTTCCAAAGTTGCTTCCACATTTTTGGGTATCTTTACAGCAGCAACCCATTCCAGTAGTACCAATTTACTGTATTAGTCCAATTTCATGCTGCTGTTAAAACATACCCAAGACTGGGTAATTTATAAAGAAAAAAAGGTTTGATGAACTCACAGTTCCACATTGCAGGGAGGCTTCACAATCATGGAAGAAGTGAAGGAGAAGCAAAGGCATGTCTTATATGGTGGCAGACAAGAAAGAATGAAAGTGAAGTGAAAGGGGTTTCACCTTATTAAACCATCAGATCTTATTCACTACCATGAGAACAGTATGGGGAAAACTGCCCCCATGATTCAATTATCACCCACTGGGTCCCTCCCACAAAACATGCGGATTATGGGAGCTACAACTCAAGATGAGATTTGGGTGGGTACACAGCCAAACCGTATCACTACTTTAAAATTCATATGGAACTAAAAAAGAGCTTGAATTGCCAAAGCAATCCTAAGCAAAAAGAACAAAGCTGGAGACATCACATTACCCAACTTGATACATACTATAAGGCTATAGTAATCAAAAGAGGATCTGTATTTTAATGAGATCCCAGGTGACTGTATGCACATTCTACTTAGAAAGCACCACTATACACAGTATTTTCTCTCTTATTTTATAAAAGGACATTTAAATAAATCTATATGATTAAAGAATTTTCTATACATTATTAAACCCACATAAGAAATTTCTTTTAAATTTGGTGTCACTTTTCTCATAGAATTAGTTTTTTTCTCATGGACAGTAATAATTTTATCAATCTTATGTTCCTTTTTGCTTTGGCCACTAGGAGGCTTATAAATAGTTTTTCCTTAGCAATGTCATCTGTTCTTGTCTTCTTATTTTAATTTGTATTTCCCCTTGTCTGGTAGTTTTCATTTATGTTTTATTATTTCATTGTATATGTTTCTTGAAATAATTTTATTTTGTTTACCCTAACGTTATTATAGGGAGAAAAATAGATTGACAATCCTCAGCCTGGCATTGAATAATTATATTCAGTGTGATCTCCCACCTTCCTGACCTCATCTCCTGCTCCTCCCAAACAAGAACATCATATTCTCACCTAACTGTTGACCCCTTTCCATTACCCTAACATCCTTTCTTTTGTTGGAGTAGGCTCTCTTAATCCCTCAACGTTCAGCCCAAATTATACCTTCTCCTTGATGGTTTGCCCTGATCATCCTGGTCAAAGGTTCTTTCCCCTCTTACCTACAAAAAGCACTCTGTTGAGACCCTTAAATGCAATTTGGCATTTAGCTTATATTGTGTCCATTTACATATGTGGCTTTCAAAAGTACTTTGAGGGAAGGGAGTATGTATTATTTGGGTCACCTGCAGTGCCTATTGCCCAGATGATGCTTTATTAATGAATGAATGAAAGTGTATTAAGTACATATGATGAGAATTTCATTTGGTTTCAGCTTAGTAAAAACAGATTTGAAACAGACAACCAATATGGAAAGTAAAATAACCTATTATTTTTACTTTTCTGCTTCATTCATCATTCAAAGGAGCTCATAACCCAGGATTTGGTTGGGCATCTGAAAAGTTTACTCAAAATTTGTAAGACAACAAGAATTATGATGTGCCCTTTAAGTAAAGCCAACGAGGTGTTGGAATGTGGGGTAAGGTGTATGAGACGTCTGTATATAGAAGATATTTGCATTTTCGCCAGAATCACGCTGCTCTCCACAGGGCTTCTGGCACCATTTCTAAAGACTCACAGGCCTTTAGCCAAGTCTTTCAGGGCCAAAGCTCCCCATGGACTGTCTCACAAGATCTGCAGGGGAACAAGGTAACACTGACTTTGGTGGCTTAGAGACAGTGCAACACAGCAGCAGACAGACAGCCTGGCACACAGCCAGCTAAGAAAGTGGGACATCTGGGTGTGAGCCAAAATATCTCGCTGACCTTGAGCTGAAGGGATGAGCCTCTGGCAGGCACAATTAAAAAGCTCAGATTCTCTAAGCAGAGAGTGAACATTACATACAACTGCAAGGGAGTGGTCCATGCCACATTCAGCAGCCTAGGACACAGAGCACAAATTAACAAAGTCACCCTTGTTAATTAGGGCATGTGCAGGACAATAAAATTCACCAATTCTCTCACCTTCTCTTGAGATTTGAGCTGTCAGAAATATAGTGCAAGCTAAAAATGTAATTTTAAATTTTGTAGTAGACACATTAAAAACATAAAAAGAAACAAGTAAAATTAATTTTAATAATATACTTTCTTTAACCCAATATATCTAAACTATCATCATTTCAACACTTAGTCAATATATAAAATTATTAACAAGATATATCCATTTTAAGTCTTTGAAATCGACATCTCAATTTGGACTAGCCATATTTCTAGTGCTCAGTAGCCACATGTGTCTGGTGGCTACAATATTGGACAGTGCAGACTTTAAATACTGAAAATACAGAAGTAGTGAATTATCTATAAATAATAGAAAAGGTTCTGACTTTGTAGATTAAGCTATCTAGCTTATATTTTTACTCCTTGGTTACAGTTTTTTTGGCACTAGAGAGGCCATTTAACCTGAGCCTCTCCCCATCAGAAAAAAATGTTGATAAATAATCTCTACCTTTCAAGTTTGTTGGCATGAATGTGTGCAGAGTACCAGCACACTGCCAGGCCCCCAGAGGACACTGAATACATTACAATATACTGATAACATATTCATATAGAAGGGCTCCAGAGCTACCCACAGTGAGAGTAAGAAATCTCTCTGAAGGGAATTAGATCCTCTCATTTTTCCTGGCTTAAAATCACAAAAATAGAAGAGAAAGCGGTAGCTTCATTCTAGCTTTTTTCTAACTTTACAGTATAATATTCCAATAGATTGTATCTCTTTATGTATTGTATCCCTTTTATGAAAATACACAGACTTCCAGTTTCTAATCTGGCATGTAAGCAGCTAACAAGTCTTCACTGCAACCCAAAAAGTGAAGAGCTAAACAAACAGGAACATCAACAACTCTTCTTAGATCTATCAGAGAAGGGAGGTCACAGGGAAAACCACCACCCCAAAAACTGGAGACAGACAGGCAGATACAGAGAATCACAACTTAGCAGAGCAGAAACCTTCACAGCAACCAGTACCTGAAGAAATAAAGGTAAAATAAAAACATTTACTTTTTTTATTCTTAATAGATCTAACAGATAATAACATGTTCAAAATAACAGTAACAATGTATTTGATTATATATGTCTGTGTGTGCGTGCGCGCGCGCGCGTGTGTGTGTAAGTGAATGGCAGTGAAGACACAAGAAACAGGGCTGAGGAAGGAATTAGGAATACTTTGTTATCGTAAGGTACTCACAGTACCCATGAAGTGTTATAGTGTTATCTGAAAGTGAAGTAGAATTAGTTGTAAACATGTATTGCAAACTCTAGAGCACCCACTTTAAAAAAAAAAAAGCTTTTAAAAAATGAGTATAATTGATAAGAAAGGAGAGAAGATTGAATCATATAAAATGCTCCTTTAAAACCACAAAATGCATAAAAGAAGTGGAAAAAATGGGAAGAAAGAATAAGGGCAACAAATAGAAAACAGTAACAAATGTAGCAGGTGTTAATTGAACTATATCAATCATCACCATAAACGTCAGTGGCCTAATGCACAAATTAAAAGATACAGATTGTTGGCCAGGTGCAATGGCTCATGCCAGTAATTCCAGCACTTTGGGAGGCTGTGGTGGGAGAATCACTTGAAACCAGGAGCTCAAGACTAGCCTGGGTAACATACCAAAGCCCTGTCTCTACAAAAAAACTTTAAAAATTGGCTGAGCATAGTAGTACATGCCTGGAGTCCTAGCTACTTGGGAGGTTGAGGCAGGAGGATGGCTTGAGCCCAGGAATTAGAGGTTACAGTGAGCTGTGATTATACTACTGCACTCCAGCCTGAGAGGCAGAAATAGACTCTTAAAAAAAAAGAAAGAAAGAAAGAAAGAAAATTGTCAGAGGAATCAAAAAACAAGGACCAACTATATGAACTATTTGTTGTCCAGCTGAAATCCCCTTTAAATATAAAGACACATATAGATTAAACGAATGGAAAAAGATATACCATGATCTTACTAATCAAAAGAAAAATGTAGTAACGATATTTATTTCAGACAGAGCAGATTTCAGAGCAAACAAGTTATCAGGAATAAAGAAGAACATTATATAATGATTTAAAAAAAGGGTCAATACTCTCAAGAAGACATAACAATCTTTAATGTGTATGCACCCAACAACAAAGCATCAAAATACATGAGGCAAAAACTGACAGAACTGCAAGGATAAATAGATTAATCCACTATTATAGTTGCAGACTTTAATATCCCTCTATCAAAAATGGATAGGTCCAACAGGCAGAAAGCCAGTAAGAACATAGTTGAACTCACTAGCATCATCAATTAACTGGATATAGCAGACATCTATAGACTATTTCATCCAACAGTAGCAGAATATACATTCTTCAAGTTCACGAGAAGCATCCAAAAGATAGATTACATTTGGGGCCATAAAACAAACCTTAGCAAATTTAATATAATAGAATCATATAATACCTCAAACCACAATGGAATTAAACTAGAAATCAATAACAGAAGAATGTCTAGAAAATCTAAAAATACTTGAAGATTAAACAACACACTTCTAAATAATATGGGTCAAAGAAAAAATCTTAATAAAAATTTTAAAATATTTTGGCTGGGCACAGTGGCTCACACCTGTAATCCCAACACTTTGGGAGGCCAAGGCAGGTGGATTACTTGAGGCCAGAAGTTCAAGACCAGCCTGGCGAACATGATGAAACCCTGTCTCTACCAAAAATACAAAAATTAGCCAGGTGTAGTGGTGCGTGCCTGTAGTCCCAGCTACTCAGGAGGCTGAGGCAGGAGAATTGCTTAACCCCAGGAGGTAAAGGTTGCAGTGAGCCAAGATCATGCCACTGCACTCCAGCCTGGACAACAGAGTGAGACTCTGTCAAAAAAAGAAAAAATAAACAAAATATTTTAAGCTAAATAAAATAGAAAATACAATTTAAAAAACTGGGGGGATTCAGTGAAAGCACTGTGTAGAGAGAAATTTGTAGCATTGAATGATTATATTAGCATTGAATGATTACATTAGAAAAGAAGAAATATGTAAAGTCAATGATCTAAGTCTCCACATAAGAAAACTAGAAAAAGAAAAACAAACTAAATCCAAAATAAGCAGAAGAAAATTATTATTATTATTATTACTAGAAATCAATAAAATTGAAAGCAGGAAATCAATAGAAAAATATCAGTAAAACCAAAAGCTGGTTCTTTGAAAAGATCAATAAAAATCAATAAGCCTCTAGCCAGGCTAAGCAAAAAAAAGAAAGAGAGAGAACACACAAATCAATAAATGAAAATGAAATTAGGGACCTCAGTAAATATCCCATGGACATTAAAAGGATAATAAAATAATTACTATGCCCATAAATGTTACAACCTAAATAAAATGGACCAATTTATTGAAAAATGCAATCTGTTAAAATTCACAAAAGAAGAAATAGAGCATCTGAATAAGTCTATATCTATTAAAGAAATTGTATAAATAATTAATAACCTTTCAACACAGAGAGCACCAGGCCCAGGTGGGTTCACTGGTAAATTCTAACAAAAATTTAAGGAAGAAATTACACAAATTCTTTAAAATCTCAAAAAAAAAAAAATCAACATAAAACCGGATATCCAGGAGAGATTTGGGAGTGGGGGAAAAACAAACATAAATACCAGCTCCAACGGAAGAAAAAAAAACTCTTTCAAAAGATAGAAGCAGAGGGACTACCTTCTAACTCATTTGATGGGGCCAGAATTACCCTAACACCAAAACCAAACAAAGACATTACAAGCAAAGAAAACTATAGACCAATATCACTGATGAATATAAAAGCAACAATCCTCAACAAAATATTTGCAAATGAAATCCAATAATGTATAAAAATACTTCTATACCACAACCACATAAGTTTTATCCTAGGTACACAAGATTGGTTCAACATTCAAAAATCATTTAATATAATCTAGCACATCAATAGTCTAAAAAATAAAAATCACATGATCATATTATTAGATACAGAAAAATAATTTGACAAAATCAAACATTCATGATAAAAACTGTCAGCAAACTTGGAATAGAGACGAATTTTCTCAACTTGATTAAGAGCATCTACAAAATGTCTATAGATATCATCACACCTAGTAGTAAGAAATTCAAAGCTTTCCCACTAAGATCAAGAACAAGCAAAAATGTCCCTTCTCACCACTGCTTTTCAACATTGTGTTGAAAGTTCTGGATAATTCAATAAAACGAGAAAAGGAAAAAAATGGTATACAAATTTAGGAAGGAAGAAATAAACTGGCTTTATTTATAGATGATATAATTTTCTATGTAGAAAATCTAATGAATTGACAAAAAATCCTAGAATAAGTGATTATAGCAAAATGGTAGGATACAAGATTAATATACAAAAGTCAATCACTTTCCAATATACCAGCAATAAACGAGTGGAATTTGACATTAAAAATACATTACCATTCACATTAGCACCCCCAAAAATGAAATATTTAGGTATAAATATAACAAAATATATACAAAATCTATGTGAGGAAAACCAAAAAACTCTGATGAAAGATACCCAAGACAAAATTTAAAATAGAGAGATATTTTATCTTCAAGTATAAGAAGACTCCATATTGTCAAAATTTTAGTTCTTCTCAACTTGACCCATAAATTCAACACAATCCCAATCAAAATTTCAGCAAATTATTTTGTGGATATTAACACACTAATTCTAAAGTTTGTATGAAAAGGAGAAAGACCCACAATAACCAACTCAATATTGAAGGAGAACAAAGTAAGAGGATTGACACTGCCCAACATCAGACTTAATATCTTTATATTTCATGTTTATATTACTACAGTAATCATGACAATGTGTTACCAATGAAATAATATACAGGTAGATGAGTGGAACAGAATAGAAAGCTGGCATATAGGCCCACATAAAGCCAAGAAAATGACCCCAAAAGCCAAGAAATTGGCCCACATAAAGATCAGTTTGTCAACTGATCTTTGAGAAAAGAGCAAAGGCAATACAATAGAGCAAAGATAGCATTTTCAACAAATGGCTCGGACAACTGGACATTCACATGCAAAATGCAAAATTATAGCACTTCTGGAAGATAACATAGGAGAAAATCTAGATGACCTTTGTGTATGGAGATGTCATTTTAGATGCAATACCAAAGGCACAACCCATGAAATAAATAATTGATAGCTAGAATTCATTAAAATTAAAAATTCCACTCTGCAAAAGACACTGTCAAGAGAATGATAAAACAAGCCACAGGCTGAGAGAAAATATTTGCAAAAGACACATTTGATAAAGGAGTGTTATCCAAAATATACAAAGAACTCTTAAAACTCACCAATAACAAAATGAACAACTCAATTTAAAAATGGACAAAAGACTTTTACAGCCAATTCACCAAAGAAGATACACAAATGGTTAGTAAGCAAATGAAAAGATGCTCAACATCATATATTATTAAGGAATTGCAAATTAAAACAACAATGAGGTACCACTGTGCACCTGTTATAACTGCCAAAATCCAAAACACTGACAACACAAAATGCTGGCAATCATGTGGAAAAACAGAAACTCTTATTCATTACTGGTGAGGATACAAAATGGTACAGCTACTTTGAAAGATAACTTGGCAGTTTCTTACAAAACTAAGCATACTTTTAGCACATGATCCAGCAATCACACTCCCTGGTATTTTCTCAAATAAATTGAAAACTTTCATCCATACACACAAACAAAAAATGCATATGGATGTTTATAGCAGCTATATTCATAATTGCTAAAACTTGGAAGCAACCAAGATGTTTTTCAGTGGGTGAACGGATAAATAAATTGTGGTACATCAAGACAAAGGAATATTATTCAGTGTTAAAAAAATGAGCTACCAAGCCATGAAAAGACAAAGAAGAAACTTAAATGCATGTTGCTAAGCTAAAGAAGCCAATCTGAAAAGACTACATACGGTACAATTTTAACTATTATAACATTCTGGGAAAAACAAAACTATGGAGAAGGAAAAAGATTAGTGGTTGCTAGGCAGGTGGGGCAGGGGATGAGTAAGTGGAGCACAAAAGATTTTCAGGGCAGTGAAGCTATTCTGTACAATACTACAATGGTGGATAGATGTCATTATATATTTGTCAAAACCCATAGAAAGTGCAACCCAAGAGTGGGCCCTAATGTAAACTAGAGATTTGAGATGATAAGGATGTGTTGATGTAGGTTCATAGATTATAACAAACATCTTACTGTTTTGCAGGATGTTAATAATGAGGAAAGTGAGGGGGGATATTATAGAAAACTCTGTTTTCCTCTGAAAACTGCTCTAAAAATAAAATTTGTTAATAAAACATATTTTGAATATGCAACAAATCAATGTGTAGAGAAGTTAGAAGATTAGTTCACCAAATAACATTTCACCTTATACCAGCACTCACACAAAATAATTTCATAATCAAGAAACTCACACAACGATAGACTGGGTTAAGAAAATGTGGCACATATACACCATGGAATACTATGCAGCCATAAAAAATGTTGAGTTCATGTCCTTTGTAGGGACATGGATGAAACTGGAAACCATCATTCTCAGCAAACTATCGCAAGGACAAAAAACCAAACACCACATGTTCTCACTCATAGGTGGGAATTGAACAATGAGAACACATGGACACAGGAAGGGGAACATCACAGTCTGGGGCCTGTTGTGGGGTGGGGGGGGGGGGAGGGATAGCATTAGGAGATATACCTAATGTTAAATGACGAGTTAATGGGTGCAGCACACCAACATGGCACATGTATACATATGTAACAAACCTGCACATTATGCACATGTACCCTAAAACTTAAAAGTGTAATAATAATAAAAAAATTTTAAAAAAAGAAACTCACAAGTACTGTCAAATAGCTAAATAGAATAGTTGAAAATGTTCAAAGTTCTTGGGATCCAGGTCAGTACTGAATTTAGCATCTCATGTCCTATTGTCCTTTTCTCTCCTTCTACTGTTGGGTGTAGTTGGGGTCTTGGGAATCCAGTCCATATTTTGTCTGTATTGAAAAATAGCATTGAAAAATATCTCAAAAGAAAGGGAAACAAGATTTGGCATTCAGAAAGTAGAAAGGTTTTCTAGAAGTAGGGATGCTTTACATAGGTTGTAATGCAAAGAAGAAAGATTGTCAAGAGATAATTTCCTGGCCTGCAGCAAAAGAAGAACAGAATCAACTTGGTAGGTGGAAGTGAGGCATGGGAAATATAGGAATCCATACTCCTCCAGAAAGATCCAAGGTCAAAATAATTACCAGAAAGCTTGGGGAAGAACATGTTATGAAACAAAAACAGATTGTATGGGGGCAATTTCTCAAATCACTGCACCGAAGGAAAGAGTGGATGGTTTTCAATGAATAAGGAGAGCAGGAAGGTAAGAATATGAAATGAGGAAAAAAACATCACAACATCTTCCTGGAGGGAAAGACGAGTTAGAAGACAGCCTTTAGGAATAGAAATACAACTTTGGGGATGCACCAGTAAGAAACTGGGTCAAAATTACTGCATTCCTTAGAGAGATCAGTTATGAATTGTGCCTGCTTCCATACGGAGTGAGAAAGAGGGGCTTGGAGGATACTGGGGACCGAGGGCACAGAATTATATTCTCTCTGGTTGGGAACAAGGAGGAATCTTACTTATGGAACAATTTTGGACAGGATTATTTTTAGGTTTGACATAGTTAACCAGTAATTACTAAACACCTTTTATGTGCCCCCTTCCAACTTCCCACGTTGTACCTTTTTTTAATCATTGCCATTGGTAACAATTCAAGAAGAACCAGCTCTTGCCTCCTAAGAATGAGGAAATTCTACAGACCCAACATATCAAATGATTAGCTGAGAGGGTATTGTTGCTCTGGGGGAAAAAGGGCAATTTGACTGGGGGAAATTCCGTTCATTTAGCAAAATTTAAAATAGTGTTTCTTTAACAATGATTATTTTCTATATGTTTGTTTATTTTCTTTAGGGAGGGGAACTGACACAAATTTTCTGGAAGATTTATAAAAGCTATTAGCCAGATCTGGAACAACTTTCACTACATGGCTTCTGGAGATCAAAAGCAGTAAAGAATGCCTCTTCGAAAGGAACTCCACTTGCCTCAGGTTGTTTGGTATGGAGCATGTATTAGTCTATTTTGCATTGCTATAAAGGAAAACCTGAGACTGGCTAATTTCTAAAGAAAGGAAGTTTATTTGGCTCACAGTTCTGCAGGCTGCACAAGCATAGCACCAGCATACCCTCGGCTTCTGGTGAAGTGTCAGGGAGCTTTTACTCATAGCAGAAGGCAAAAGGGGAGCAGTTGTGTCACATGGCAAGAGAACAAGCAAGAGAGAGAGGAGGCAGGTCCCAGTCTCTTTTTTTTTTTTTTTTTTTTTAACAACCAGCTCTTGTGTGAACTCATTACCATGGGGAGGGCACCAAGCCATTCATGAGGTAACCGCTCCCATGACCCAAACATCTTCCACTGGGCCCTACCTCCAACATTGGGAATCACATCTCAACATGAGATTTGGTGGGGGGACAAACATCAAAACTATGTCAGGGCACCATTTTGTGCCACTGCAGCCCCACAGGATAAAGTCAAGAAAAACTTTCTATGCAGTCTCACTTTACTGTGGTTTAAAATCTGTGCTTACTACAATGTCATGCATTTCAAAATTTCTCTGGCTCTTGTAGGCAAGTTGTTATTTATCAGGACATCTGGAATTGGTAGAGGAGGACACCATCTAAATTAGTGGTTTTTAAACTTTTTTCACCTCAACCTACAGTAAGAAGTAATTTTTATAGTTACCCTGCACATACATGTATAAAATACACCTACAAAAATACATACAAACTGAATCAAGAGAATCATAAAACAATAATGTATTATCCCTGAAGCACTGTGAAATTTCAATTCTAGCTCTATTTTATTCAAAAAAAAAAAACCCTTGTCACAGCCCACCATATTGATCATTGTTCATTTATAAGTCATAAAAGGCCTGAAGTTTGTGACTTCTCTTCCCAAGTGGCTACCATGACATGCCTATTCACTGCCACCTGATTTACAAGACCTTCCACAATCTGGTCACATCTCCCTGTTCAGCATGAGTTTCCCACTTCTCCTAACATATCTTTTAGAATAATATAATAGCTTCCTTTTATTGGGCACCGACATTGTCATAGTTTCTGTGCTAAGAGATGATATGAATCATATCTTGACTACTCACAACTCTGTGATGAGGTTATTAATTTGCTTCCAATATATAGATGAAGAAACTTAAGCTCAGGGAAGTTGAAGCAAGTAAGTGACTGGGCTGGAACTTAAGATGGGCATAACCCTGGAGCCTATTCTCTTTCCACTGGAACACACTGGCCTCCATGTCAGAGTTTCTCTTTAGTAGCCTTCCACTCATCCTGCCTGGAGCCCTCCTGTGTTCATGCTGTTCTCCTACCTGGAAGGCCTTCCAACCTCCACTTCTAGCAATTCACAACTGCCTACTCTTATTTCTGGACCCAGCCCAACTCTGCTTCTCCTAAGAAGCCACTCGAATAACTTTGACCCATGCTCTCCTCTCTCCTTTTAACTCTGGGAGGCAGCAAATCTCAGGCCAGGTTTGAACACTAGTTCAAAGACATAGTGCCCCAAGATGGCACTCACTTTCCGTGTCTCCACTTTCTCTTCTGTAAAATGGGGATAATAATCACCCCTACCCCACAGGATTGTTGTCACGGTAAAAGAGTTAATAGACATAGAGTGACTAATACAGAAGCTGTTGCATAGCAAGTGTGCAATAAATGTCATTGTTATTCAGTTTTACCCAATGATCACTTCATGATACGCTGTCCTATTCCTTAATCATGTATTCATCATGCATATATCTAATGTCTCTGACTAGAATGTCAGGTCTTCATGGGCAAGACTGTACCATATTTTTATCTTTACCCCAGAGGCACACAGGACCAGGCATGTTGTATACATTTAAAAATATCAAATTTTAACATTACAAAACTGGCCAATGCCAGAAAAAGAATGATGACTTCTTCTTCTCTTCCTCCTCCTCCTTCTCCTCCTCCTCCTCTTTCTTCTTTTTTTTATTATTATTATTATTTTTTTTTTGTATCAAAGGAACATCCAGTGATGATTTCGTTTTGGGAAACTCAGTAGGATGGCTTGTAAGTTCTATGCACGGAAGTGCTCTTGGGAAGAACTACCGTACAATACTGCTCTGGGCTCTGCTTGGTGCCTGAACAGATTTAAGTTTCAGAGATTCTGTACTGAGAGTGGGATGTGCAAAAATTTACACTGCTTTATGTTTCCAAAACCGATGTTAGCTTAGCTTTAGAGTCTTTATTTTCACTTAAGTTTACCCAGTCACTTCAAATTTAAACCTTTCATTTGAAATGATTCTCTCCCTCCCACTTCTTTTTCTCTCCTTCTTCACCAGGGTAGTCAAAGTTCCTAAGCCCAACCATGGCAAGGATGGAGTGAGAAATAGGCCATACATCTGGAGGTTTTTTCTAGCTCTGGGCTTTTAATGAGCTTGTGAATATGGCTCTCAGAGGTCAGTTTGTTATACGTGGCTCTGCAGAAAATAGAACATTTTAAACATCCTCAATATAGCCACTTTCTTTGTCTCTGATTTTCTTTCTAACCTCACTCAACTGTATTCATTCTGTAAACTCCATCCCCCAATACTAAGCACCTTGCTGTAAGGAAGTTACAGTTTACAGTAAATGAAAAAACCTCCAGCCTGGCTTACTTTTGCCACTAGCCATAAGAGAAACACATTTCTTTCTTGTTCACAGAAACACAAAACAGCACAAAAAAGGCACATGAAGAAATCCCACAGGAAAAGGCATCCAGAATATCTAAAGCAAACAACATATTTTACTGCATTTATTATCTTCCCAAGAAATGAAAGTGTGAGAGCCCTTAGATATCTGTCCGCAAAGAAAACATTTCTGTTCCACTAGAAATGCCCTACTAAGTTTGATGGTGCCCAGATACTGGTCTTCCTTCTACAAGTTCACCTGTTAAATGCTGTTTGTTCCTCAGAATGGGGTTCTGCATTCTTACTTCCACATTCACTGTTAAAAGGGAGCCTGGTTCAAGCAAGATTGGTGAGTGAAAAGGAAATGTAGAGAGAAATGACAGCTCCCTAAGAAGCAACACTTTTTTTCCCTAGAAAGTGACTTGAATCGACTTCAGTTGAAGAATAAATCATCCTCCAACTGCACCTGCTCTATTGATGGCTCACCGAGAGTTCTAGAAGAGCTCGGACACTCACTGATTGTGCAGGATTCTTAGAGTTACTACCTGTCATTGTGTGATTTTATTCCTGAAGCCTCTGGTGAGTTATATGGCATGTGCTTATGTAGGTGGAAATAGAAATGTATAAATCAGTATATGATCAGCCAGGTCTGAGAATTTTACAGCATCTTTTGACATATTGGAAGCAGACTAAAATTGCAAAAGCAGATTCTTGGCTTCAATCCGAAGCAATAGGTAGTGCTGTGATCAGAGAAGTGCTAAATGTAAGTTTGGAGAAACTTTTTTACAAAACACACACCAACACTGGTTTGTTTTCTGAGACTGGTCCTCTAGACTTCTTGGGATATCTCTGGGGACCCTGTTTGCTAGACCAAGCCACAAGCTCAGGTGGCCAGTCAATGTGTCCCATTGCAGCCTGGGTTCAGCTGCCCTTGGGACTTATAGCAAAGACAGATGTGAAATACTGCTACAGAAGGGCTAATTATGTAAAAAGTAGTTATGCGTGTTAAGAAAACTTTAATGTATTTCACTAAATAAACAATTTTTCAGTAATAGCCAAATATAGAACCCAAAAAAACAAAACCTAGTTACAGAGTAAAATCTTCCTGACTTATACTAAGTTTATTTTGACTCCTCTTTCTCACAGTCTCTGCATAATTGATTTAAAAGCAAATTGCATTTCTAATAATAGATTAGTGTTATTTTTCTTCTACTCTGCTGTAAGCCATAAAAGCAAACATGCCCACTTAATCCATTTTCAGAGTTTCTAAACAACCTGCCTACTCCTTCTCAAATAGTGTGAGTTCCCCCTTCTGAAGTAAAATTTTTGGGGGGCAAAGTCATATTTTGAAATTCTTCTTGTCAAAGCAGAATTCTGTCTTTGAACTCCCCTTTCCAATAATTCTATCCAGGCATGAACTGGTATCACTCTCTCTGCTTTATGCCTGGATAAAACTATCCTTATAGTTTATACACCAGAGGCTTGTTTTCAAAGAATGAGCATCATTTGCTATGGTGATAAATATACTCTGTAGAAAAACTTCAGACTACATTAAACCCATTTACTAAAGTTTTGGAGCAAGAGGGGGCTGGATGGCAGAGAGTGGAGGGGAGGACCTCTTTCAGGAAGTAGATGGAACATGGGTAGCCACAGTCTACAGTTCTGTGTTCTTGGGGCATGCAGAAGGAAGAGAATTAGTTGTCTTTTCTGGTCGGCTGGGAACAGGGGGATATGGTTTCAGAGCCTACACTCAACCCAAAGTCTGGCATGCCCATAAGTGATACCATGGCCCAGAGACTTAGGGTCAGCTTCAACCTGCATGAACAATAGCAAGTTTGGTGAGAATGAAAAAATTCTATCACATCATTTTCCCTGTGTTTAACTCTCCAGTGGCTCCCATTGTTCTTACAATAAGATCAACCACCAGCTAACTTCCAGGTGCCACTAAACCCTGCCCCATTTGGCCTCAATGTCCCTCACAGACTGTCTCCAGCTTGCGCTCGGCCACACTCCTTTTTCTGGTGCTCCCACTCAGCTCCTGCTCCTCTCAGGACTTTCTTGACTTAAATTGCTCTTTCCCACTCACCCCTCACCAACTCCAATATCCTTTAAGTCTCCATTTAAATGTCATTTTTTCATGGAAGCCAATTTAAACTTTCATCAGTTTCTCTTGATACAGTTGTTATGAAATCATAATTTGCTTAATCGCTGTCTTACACATTAGACTGGAATATCAATGAAAGTAGGAACCACGTCTACCCTGAATTCTCAGAACCAAACACATGTCTGGTCTATGGTGGGTGTTTAGTAAACCTTTGACAGTCAAATGCCTGAGAATGAATGAAGTTGTGCAAGAGAACATGGGGGAATACTTCATTAAGTAACATGTTGTGTTTCTAGCATTCTGAAAACCCTGCAGACTAATGTCTCCCAAATACCCAGTGCAGTTATATAAAAAGATTTTATAATTTATAAACAAAATAGAGACTGGGTGCTGTGGCTCATGCCTGGAATCCCAACACTTTGGGAGGCTGAAGCGGGAGGATCACTTGAGCGCAGGGGTTCAAGGTCAGCCTGAGCAACATTGGGAGAGGAGACCACATCTCTACTAAAAATTTAAAATTTATCTGGATGTGGTGGCACATGCCTGGGTGACAGAGCAAGACCATGTCACAACAAAATAAGACCCTCCAAAACCAAAATAGATCTTTTTTAAACTTATAGGATAAGTTTAGTCTATCTTCAAAGCCAAAATGACATTCCTATTAATTGTGGGAGGTAAAGGGGAAAAGATGCAGGAGGATTGAAATATTGTAGCACAATACACGTGCTATGCCTTCCTGCCATCTCAGCTTTTAATTTAGTGGATTTTTAAAATTTAGAATTCCAAGTATGGCACTTCCTGTTCTCTGTTATTGCAGACAGCCGTCCAGGCAGAAAAAAGCATCTGGACCAGAAATCATCATTACCAAGTGACAGAACTGGAACAGGTATTAGAGTGATCCAAGATAATTACTGAGTAGAAAAGATTGATCTCGACTGTTTCCTGAATGTAGCTGAGTTTGACCCAGAACAGTGCTTCTCAAACTTTAATGTGCATATGAATCACTTGGGATCTAGTTAAAATGCAGATTCTGATTCAATAAATATAGAGTGGGGCCTAGGGTTCTGCATTCCTAACAAGCTCCCAGGTAACAGACGGGACTAGTCAACATGGATTGGCACAGGTCAGAGGGCACAATCATGCCCAGACGCAAAGAATGTTCTTCACAGAAAGGAAGTGGTGGGGCCACGCCCAAAAGGGTGAACAGCAAAGCCCAGATGTCGCCAGCAGAGGGCAGCAGAGGGCAGGTTAAAGTGCACTGGATCCGGCCAAACTCAGCCCAAAGGCAGCTCCAAAATAGTTCACATCAGAGCATGCCTAAGAGGACAGGGGAAAAGCAGGCGCTGAGACCACCAGCGGCCTGAAGGGAGATGTTCACATGGATCGAATACACTCACTGGAGGGAGCACTTTGTGACAGCAGAAAGAACACCAATCCCGGGCAGGAGACCAAAGATCTAAGTCAAACACAACAAGAGAGCAGTACATTGGGGCCAGCCACTCACCATCAGCCTTGATTTCCTCATCAGTCAAACAAAGGGTGGTCGCTAATGAACGCTTCTAGTTTTCACGTTCTGCGTCAGTGGTTCTTGTTCAGACCTCGAGGAATCTGGAAGAGACCATGGAGAGACGGCTGGTCACCTGCCAGGGTGAGGCCTTTGGGAATGTGATGGGCAGGGAGTTGGTTTTGTTTGAAAGTCAGGGCTCAGTGGAGGCTTTTCTATTTTAATTATCATTTTCATTTGTTATCAAAGAATACGTGCACTTCGGACAAAAAGTCAGATAGGGAGGGGCCCGGTGCGGTGGCTCACGCCCGTAATAACAGCACTTTGGGAGGACGAGGCGGGTGGATCACTTGAGGCCAGAAATTTGAGACCAGCCTGGCCAACATGGTGAAACCACATCTCTACTAAAAGTACAAAAATTAGCCAGGCGTGGTGGTGTGTGCCTGTAATCCCAGCTACTCAGGAGGCTGAGGCAGGAGAATCACTTGAACCCGGGAGGCGGGGGTTGCAGTGAGCCAAGATCATGCCACTGCACTCCAGCCTGGGCGACAGAGCTAGACCCTGTCTAAAAAAATCAGATTGGACTAAAAGTCTTATAACCAAAACAACAGTCCCTTATCCCTCTTACATTCCTTATCTTTTTCCCCCAGAAACAATGTCTTCAAACTCTTTTACTGTTTTTCCTCCATTTTTTGCCTCCATATTCCTGAATAATATATACAATATAATCCTATTACTTGATTCATTAGCTATTGATTTTTACTACAGTGGATTAGGATAACAGTTCAATTATACTATCTTTTCCCCTTCAATATTCTCTAAACATAATTTGTCTTATTAATATATCTGGAGTCATATCTATATTCAGTTTCTGTATTTTGACTATGTACATATTATTCATTAAGTCAGGTAATATACTATGATTATATTTAATTTCTTATACAACTTTTTGTCTGTCCTGGAATTAATAATTGTCTTATTTTTTTCATATGCTTTGTTTAAACATCTGACTAAGTTTCCCATACCCTCCAACATGCTTCTATTGAAGACAGTTTTCTATAGAGGCATCTTTCAGATTATTCTTGCTTTCACCTGTTTTGCATTGGATCCCATACATCCTGAATACCATCCTTCCTTCTCCTAGTTTGCTTCCTCCTTTTAGTGGAGCATTTCCACCAGCAAGGCCCACCAGCCCTTCCACCAACACCTTGACAGTAATCAGGGTTGTCTAAGTCACAGGCTCTTGTAGATTTCTCAGGAAGAACTCATAGGATTGCCACTTCCTAAGTTTGGGCATGGTCATAAAGCATGTCTGAACTGTGTATGTGAAGGTAAGTTTGGCTGGATATAAACTCCTTAGCTGACATTTTCTTAAGTATTGTAATTATTATTCTGTTGTTCTCGGGCTAACATACTGCTCTTGGATGGTCTGATGAAAATTTTATTTATTTTCCCTAACACGTGAATTGTCCTCTTGCCTGGATACCCAAAGTGTCTTTTTTCTCTGTCTCTTTTAGGTCCAATGTTTACTAGAATATGTCTTGGTGTTGGTTTTCTGGGGAACAGTTTTCCCAAGTCATTCCTTTTAATATGAGACCTGACTTCATTTTTTTATTTCAGGAAAGTTTCCTCATATTACAGATTTTAGTATTTCTTGTGCTTCATTTATTTGCTTTTCTCCTTTGGGGGTTCCTATAGCATGTATATTGGATGTTCTTTGTTCTTTTATGTATCACTTTCTCTCAAACACTTTCTTTCCTTCATTTCTTGATTTTTAAAATTTTTTTCTTTTTTCCCTCTTCTATTTAAGACAATATTCATTGTGTTAATTAACTTTTACTTTCTTCCCAGTTTTATCGTTTCTAATTTTTTAAAAAGTTTTTTTTTTTTTATAAATTCTGTTGTCATTGAAATGATCCTTTTGCCCAATTCTCATTTCCGAGTTTTTTCTAATTCTTATTTCTGTTGTTCTTTCATAGTTTCTATCACTTTCTTAAATTTTTTAGCTTATTTTGAAACATCTGGTTATAATTGTCTTCTATTTCGGCATATTTCTCTAAATTCTTCATTGAATAGAGACATTTTCTGCTTTTTATTTTCCTTTTTGCATAACTTTGTATGCGATTCACCCACGATCCTTTTTCTGTTGCTCATTTTTCAGAAAGATGAGTTTTTCTCCACTTTTAGGAGAGAAGGATGTGTCTAGATCACTTTTCTAGGCCCATAGCTCTAGAATTACCTCTTTTGTTGTTTTTAAGGAGATAAATACATCCTGGCTTTCTGAGATGTTCCTTCTCTGCTCCCTCTCCCATTCTCACCGGAATTTCTCATTCTGTTGGTGTTGTTATTCCTATTGTCAGGTTGGATTCTATTCCCAGCAGTTTCTCCTCAGTGCAGGACTTTGCCTCTGAAGGGAGTTTGGGGTTTTTTGTTTCTGGAGTTCATGGGCCCCAGAATGCCCCAGATACATTCCCAATAATTGGAATCTCCAGCCCACATCACAGATTCAACTGAGACTCAGGTATGGAAACTCTAAATGCAGTAGTCTTTTTCCAGCATCTCACTGCAAAGCAGCAGAGTGTGGCGCTTAGTTTCCCACTGCTTGTACCACACACCCCTCCCGGAGATTTCTTGAGTATGTAACACCCTAAGAGGCAAAGTATGGACGGATGCAAGTGACAGTAGCATAATTTATGAATCTCCTTGAGTCTCCCTCCACATGACTGTCAGACCGCTATTAACCTTGTAAAAGTCTTTACATTTTTACCAGTATTATTTCAAAAACATACAGCTCATTGGACCCATGGTTTGAGGTTTTGTTCTAGTTTCTCTGGCAGAGTGTCTGAGCTTGAGGTGACTCTGCAAAGCTGGGCTTATACAACCAACTCTGAGCTTAGCTTCACCATTAGTAAACAAGGTAAACAATGCCCACCTCACAGAGCTACTGAAATGATAACAAAGTTGAAACATATGAAAGTACCTCCTTCATTTCACCTGATATATAAAAAACTATTTACAAACTGTAAAGTGATATGACACTGTATGTTATTTCAAATAGATTTATGAAATACGTGAAGCCCTATAATTTTATGTTTAACTGCATAATTTTCACTTAATATACAATATTAATAATTGTTTTCTTTTCCCACTAGAATGTTTGCTTCAGAAGAGCAGTGATTATTGTCTGATTTAGTTCGATGCTATATCCTCATTGCCTCAATGCCTATGATGTACCTGGCACATCATAGACATTCAATAAATACTGGATGAATGAGTTGTTTGTGCTAACTTTGCCTTAAAGCATATGATGCAACAAATAAAACAAATGGGCAAAAGTTAAATGGTTACTAGGTTGTTGTTGGATTGGGCCTGTGGAACAAGCTCTGCCAACTTATTTCTTTAGCATTTCAGTTTGCTTTGTATTCTTGCCTACAAGTGACACTGGCTCCCCTGCTGCAGCTAAGGGAATGAGCAACACCCGAAGTGCCAGAAACAGCTCCTGCAGAAAATGTGGCCACACCGACCTCCAAGTCTCTGTCCTCCAGGCCAAAATACAGAAGGCTTGAAACACCGTGGATAATGGCTGGGCAGAGAACAACGAACCGGACTGTCTTTCTCTCACAAGTGTTTATGGAAGTCTGGCAGTCCGTCTTTAAGTAAATAGATTTGTTTTAATGGAGCAATCTATCAAATAAGCAGGGCTGCTGAGAAGGGGGGAAGGAAGATACAGTGCTGCTCCCTCGCCCTTGGGAGCCATTTCTTTAAGGATAACAAATGCGAGTGAGGTAGTGATACTCAAAGCAGGAAAAATAATAGCCTGTGGCTTAGGATGGTCTCATCTAAACTCAACGTGTGGATGGGTTTTGTGTGTTTAAACAGGCAGCTCTGCATCTCAAAAACACGGAAGAAGGAGCAAACAGACGCAGAACCAATACCAGGAGGCTTCTAGTTAGTGGGTTTTGTAAGAGAAGGGTGGTACAATGAACAGATGAATGAGCAAAGGTTTAGTCTCTACAGGTTTTCTCCCTCTACTACTGGAGGGGGTGTCAAAAGTGCCAATTTGCTTGCCCACCACACAGTACTTGATAAATGAGTAACATATTTACAGCGTGAGATGCATGGGGCGGGGTGCCGGGTGCAGGGGCGGGACAGGGAGAAATTACCAAATATTCACATGAAGACTCATATTTTGGACTTTACTCACAATATTCGCAATGACACAGTGAAAGGGCCAGGTGTAGTTTAACCCTTTTAGTTTGTGCCAGAACTTTACATTCTTTGGAAAGAAGGGATTTAATGTAAACTACAGACACTTTAATCAAGTGGCTTTCTTCACATACCATGAAAGCATTTTGAAACATTCAAGTAAAAAAAAAATTCTTTTTTTCTGAAAATATAACCTCTTAAACACCAAGGATGCTGCCAGACCAAGTCCCATCAAGTAAAAGAGCACAATAAGAAGCTTAAAAAGGGTTAGGATTAGGTTACATTTGTATAAATAAGCCGGTTTTTGTTGTTCAGGTCTCAATCCTTAAATGATCCCATCTTGTGTGTGGAAGGTGTCTCCTCATTAAATTATACATTAATATTCTCAGCATGGGTCCCAGTGGGATCCAGAATTTCCCCAGGGCTCACCAATTGTTAGAGGCAAATAACTACATCAATAGCAATAATTCAAATTTTGCTCACCCATTGTCCCCACGTGCTGCAAGGCCCCTCACCCCAACCAGGTGTTCCTGAGCCCCCTGTGAGTGTCCCACTTATGCAGATGAGAAGCCCTTGCCTGCTTACTCCATAGGAGCACAGGTGCTGCTGCCCCACTGGCACCTTCTGAGGGATACAATTCCCAAATGCCATTCTTGCCCCTGTGCTATCCCCAGGCTCCCAAATGTGCAGAGTGCACTCGATTCCAAAAAAAAATGCACATCCCCTTCAAGGCGCATTGGGTCAGAGCCATGCAGGTCCTATGAGAAAAAGGCTAGAGGGCCTGTTATTCCAGCACCATGTCATAACATGTTTGTTCCTTGAGCTCCGAAACAGTCTTTTGCCCCACATTTCACAAAATCTTTTATGAAACCATTTTCATCTGCTTTTGCCTTCTGTGCCTCTCTCTGCCTGTCTCAGATCTAGACCAGGGCCCTGGGAATTGAATAAGCACCTCTCTTCCATTCCCCCAGACAGGTACAAAAGTCCTCTTTTCAAGATAAATGAAGTCCCCATGCAAATTAACTCTTCTGGGGCCTTCCCTACCATTTTGCTAAACATGCCCAGACATACTTGAACCTTAACAGTAGGTAGCATCTAATCCTGCCTCACTCTTGTATCTCACACCCAGGATCCAGTCCCTGTAAATTTTTTCTTCATAAAACTTTACTTTGACCCTTCCTTTCCTTCTCATCTGCCACCACCTTAATTCAAGCTTATCACTTTGCTCCTTGCTGCCTCCAAAGCCCATTAATTAGAATCAGTGCTCATTCATCCTAAAAGCTGCTACCAAAATAATAATCCTTAGACTCTGCCTTGAACACATAGACTGTTTGTAGTACTTTCCAACTTTCAATTGGCCATACGAGTTAGTTGTCATTTACTGGAGAGAGTAGTAGCCTCCAACTCTGTCAACCCACATTCAAACCTTAGCTCTGTGCTTGCATAACTTTAGGATACAATCACTGGCTTTAAGCCTAAATTTCATCATCTTTAAAATGTAATATTAATATCTGCCTCATAAGGCTATGTAAGAAAAAGATAATATGACATGTTTTTCAAATTTGAAAATACAAATGTAAGAGGTAATGTTGTAAGAAGTCCTCCATAATCTGGCCACCACCAACTTTTTCCATTTTTTCTCCAATTATTCCCATTCCCAGCCCTCCTCCCTAGCCTCATCAGTCTGTTTCTTGCCCTTTAAAGGAGTCTGTCACTTCTAGCTATTGCTAGTCATTGGAACAGATTAACCAAACTGTCAGTGGCTTAATACAAAAGTTTATTTATTGCTTACTTAAAACCCAAAACAGGTGTTCCTACTTGGCAGGTGGCTCTCCTACAATGGGTGGTTCAGGGATTCAGGATTCTTCCATCTTTCAGCTCTGCCATCCTTAACATATGACTTCTAGGGTCACTTCAAAAGGAGAGAGAACATGGAGAATCACACGTGGACGGTTGTTATAGGCACATATCAGAGCTCAGAGTCATATAACATCTAATGTAGTCCAGTGGGATATCCAGCAAGATGAGGACGGGTTTGGTGAACGGTTGGCTCCCTATGCAACCAGCCCAAACACACAACCACAATGTATTTTCCGGGATGTATTCCCAGATACACCCTTCAAATGCCAGCTAAGGCCTCCTTCCATTCATGAAGTCCTTCTGGAACAATCTAACTCATAATCTTATACTATAAACTCAAACTCCTAGCACATATTATACTATGCTCTGACTCATTGATCTCCTTTTTGTTAAATCACATACATTTCTAGATCTCTTTCTTCTCAGACTCTGAGATATTTAAATTTGATAGCATGCTTCTTGATGAAACACTTCCCTACATTAACACCCCTGAGTTTAGACTTTCTTCATTCTTCCCCTACGAGACCTATTTTTGGTTCAGTTTTTTCTTCCATTGAATAACTTTAAGAGTCTCCACTCCTCTAAAACTGGTCTTCCATTTGCTCTAACTGTAACCTCTACCCTGATGTCTTCCAAATCTGAATCCTGTCTCACAATCACTCATCCCTACTCCACAGCCACTATTCCAGCTATCTGCAGGATTTCTGTGGTAGCTCATCTCCACAGATCCAAGGATACCTACCGCTCCCTCCCCAGTGAACTACCCCTCTTTGAATCCATGCCCTGGGTATCCCTTACCCCTTCAATCTGGGGCCATCTGTTAATGTGTTAAGTGATAGAAGTGAGATGCTGTGGTTTCCAAAGCTGAAGGTCATAATAATCCATGATGCTTCCACCTAGGTCTCTCTGAATGCGCCCATTCTTGGAACACTCATTGTGTTGTGAGAAGCCCAAGATTCATGCGGGCATCTTGGTTGACAGCCCCACCCATGCTCCCAGCCAGCAGCAAGCAGCACATGCAAGCCATGTCAGTGAACCCAGCAGAGACTTCCAATGACTCTAGCCCCAGCCACCACTTGCCTGCAAGTGTGTGAGAAATCCTGAGGACAGCCCAGCTGAGTGAGTCCCCATCAACCCCTAGAACCATGAGAGATAATGCAAAATGTTTGTTATAAGCCACTAAGTTTTGGGATGGTTAGTTACACAGTAATAACATAACTTGGGTATCTAACCGTTCAGCTTGCCTACAAAATAGGTGTTCTCAGTAGATGCGTTTCTTAGTCAAATAGAAAAGAATTCAACCTTTTCAGGTAAAAGTCTTGACACCATTATTTCCCTTTCCTTCTTCTCTATTCTAACTTACCCACTAGACTGTAAGCCCCATCAGTCTAGAGACTGTGCCTGGTCCCATATCCCCAGCACATTTGCTAGTACATAATACTGACTCAATAAAGATTTTGTAAATAAATTACTGAATGAATTATTTTGGAAATTATTACTGAACCATAAAATTCACTTCTTAATAAAATTTCATGGATTCTCAGTAACAGTTTTTGTTGCCAACTCAACCATATTAGAATAGTTGTTATTGAGTGCATAGGTGCTAGATGTTATATTTATCATCATTTTAACTCTCATAATAACACTACGAGATATACATCATTATTCACTTTTTATAAGAGGAATAAACCAAGGTTGAAGAAAAGTCAAATTCCTGGCCCTATATCACAAAGTTTGAGAGTTTAAGAGTCAAGATTCTTAACCCAGGTCTCTAAATGCCCCGACTTATTTCACTCAGCAAACACTGCTTCCTTATTAATTTTTGTATTTTTTTGTTATCTTCATAGGGCTAGGAACAGGCACACAAAATTATTTTTGGGGGAAATTTTTTTCCCCAAAATTATTGTTTGGGGAAAAAAATGAACTCTCAGGCCACAGATCATGACAATATTTTCTCTCCTCTGCCATCTTCACTCTTTGCCAAAATAGGAAACAAATCAGAAAATATGGAGAGGATGGGGCGTTGTTTTATCTCTCTGCTCTGGGCAGTCACCTAACACAGAACACAGATCCTCAACCCTAGCTTTACAATAGAATCACGTGGGAGCATTAAACATTATTTCCTGCCTGTGAGCCATCCCAGACCAATAGAATTGGAAGTTCTGGTGGCAGGCAAAGGCATTCCTGCCTCTTTACTGCTCTCTGATTCTAAAATGTGGCAAGCCGTGACCCACTGCTGTAGGAATTCTTGCAGTGAGCAGGTAAGGCCCATTATCTATCAGAAAAATGATCCAAGGGTTTGGATGTAACCAACAATTTTCACTTTATGCAGTAGAGTCAGCTCTTGCTTGCATGAAAATGCATACTACAAACTTCTAGTTAAGAGTAGTAGGAAGACTGTGGTCAGGCCTCAAATCTCAACCTCAAAGCCACGAAGCATTGACTGAGAAATAAGCCAACCTCAGTCCAGAGGCCTTGCAAAGTTCTAAAGCCTCTTCAACTGTTAAATCAAGTTTATGTAACCAATTTTCTCCCTATAGATGACACCCAGAATACTACTCACTCTTGTCTGTTCTTTATTGCTTTGGGGAACAAATGAAATCCTATGAGATAAAAATAAGAGTATACTTTGGAAATGGAAGAAAATAAAGGAATTGGATTCAACAGTAATTGTCCACAGAAGTTTGTAGTAATTTTTAAAACTACCAAAATTCTTAAAACCCACCTGCAATTGTGCAATAACTTCCAATTCCCTCTCCTGTTTTCCACCTAAGAACTCAGATACTCAGGTCTCATGAGATGATTTGGAAATCCTTACTCTGAAATCCCTGGAGAAGCCCCAAATTGTAGAGAAATGCTGTTCTCCCTACATTCCAAGTAGCACACTGGGAAGCCTTCCTTCTGTGTGGGCAGGCGAGCTGGCTCAGCCCATCCTTCTGAACGGACTTCTCGTTCTGCTGTTGACAGCATGGAACCGTGTAAACTAAAGGCTTCTTCACATTTATTCATGCAGCTCAGCTCCTGCCCTGTTGACGATCCTAAGCAGATGTGCAAGTGCCCAAAGACAATTAAACTATGATTCATCCTTCAGGACGCCTGCTAAGGCAGGCTGCCTGGCTGTGAGTGAAAACATATTTTAGCAGTAGCTGATTTTTTCCTTTGGTTGAGGACCAAGTCAGACTAGGCATGGCTTTGAAGTTATTTCTGTCTCGGTGGATTAGAGGTATCAAAAGAAGCAGCTCCACAAACCTTTTAACAAATATTTACAATTCTGCACTAAACAACCTCCACTGTACCTTAACCTTTACCGTCTTGTGAAATGCTTGCCAACCTCCCTGCCAAACTCATGCACTTGGCAGAGGAGGAGAGAGGGCAGCAGCTCAAAGGAAATGAAGTACAAAACAGTGAAGCATCCAGTCTTTTTGCAGTGGAGGAGAAACAAGGCCTTGTTGTGCTGGCCTGGCTGCAGACGTGGATACCCTTCCCCTGTCCCCCGTCCTACCCTGTCCCTGCAGGCAGGCACTCCTCCGCCCCCAGAGAGATATTTCACTTGCTCAATCCAGATACTGGAGGGACAACCATATTCACCTCAATCAGTCTTGGGGCTGCCCTAAAGCCAAAGTTTCCAGAGGTGACAAAGGTGGCTCCTATTCAGTGCAGGAAGGACAAAAAACAATAGGCTCAAACTGCAAAAGAGAGTGATTATGAGGATGCCATGTTTGCACCCGTTAGAAGACCACAATACTTTGCATAGTTTATAGTAAGCCTCTCACATTGGATGTATTTTAATGAAAACGCTTGTCACAGAATATTTTGGTTGCTTCTAAAATGCTGTACAGATTACTTAAATGGATGACATCGACATCTTTTTTATTTTTAGGACTCCTCATTGTGAACACAAAGATCTCATAACAAAAATCCATAGAGAATAAAAGGATCAATGAAAGCAGCCAAAAGGCAGGATCCCATAGTTGATGAGGTGAAAAGCGGCAATCCGGCGCCTCTTTCCCCTCTTCCCTGACTTCCTAGGAACAAGTACCAAGTACTGCTTACCTGTGGAGTCAGCCCCATGATGAGATCAGTAGAGGAGACCCATAGGAGGGGTGAGCATTAGTGAGGTCCCCCAAGTGGCTTTAATCAGCAACACAGAAGTCACCAAAGGAAGGCAGAGCTTGAGAGGAACAGATGGCAGCTGCTGACATAACGGCAGCCAGGGTTTGTTCATGAAGCCCACTGACATGGTACCCAGCGACCCCCCTGAGCTTACTGTGAGACTCTAAAGCCTCACAGCCACGATGAAGGCAAGAACCAAAAGTAAATGCCTATATTGTAAACAGGACCACCAGCCTTTACCTCTGTCTTGTATAGCCCAGGGAACAAGCATTAGTAGATGAACTCAAAGATTTGGTGGCTAGGGTTGTAGTCAGGCATTTCATTCATTCACTCACTCAACAAATATTTATACTCCAAAGCACTGGGTTAAATGCTTTGCAAAACAAAAATAAACACAGGTCCTTCCACTAAAAAGCTTACCGTAATCACTAACAATAAGTATTAATAGACGGATCTATAATACAGGTTAAAAAAAGTTTCATCATATAGTTAAAGATCAAACCTGCATTTGGTTCTTGGTGAGGAAGAGAGATGATCTCCAAATTGTGGAATTAAAAAGATTTTGGGTAGGAGCTCAGGATTCCATCAAAAAGTGGGCGAAGGACATGAACAGACACTTCTCAAAAGAAGACATTTATGCAGCCAAAAAACACATGAAAAAATGCTCATCATCACTGGCCATCAGAGAAATGCAAATCAAAACCACAATGAGATACCATCTCACACCAGTTAGAATGGCAATCATTAAAAAGTCAGGAAACAACAGGTGCTGGAGAGGATGTGGAGAAATAGGAACACTTTTACACTGTTGGTGGGACTGTAAACTAGTTCAACCATTGTGGAAGTCAGTGTGGCGATTCCTCAGGGATCTAGAACTGGAAATACCATTTGACCCAGTCATCCCATTACTGGGTATATACCCAAAGGACTATAAATCATGCTGCTATAAAGACACATGCACATGTATGTTTATTGCGGCATTATTCACAATAGCAAAGACTTGGAACCAACCCAAATGTCCAACAATGATAGACTGGATTAAGAAAATGTGGCACATATACACCATGGAATACTATGCAGCCATAAAAAATGATGAGTTCATGTCCTTTGTAGGGACATGGATGAAATTGGAAATCATTATTGTCAGTAAACTATTGCAAGAACAAAAAACCAAACACCGCATATTCTCACTCATAGGTGGGAATTGAACAATGAGATCACATGGACACAGGAAGGGGAATATCACACTCTGGGGACTGTTGTGGGGTGGGGGGAGGGGGGAGGGATAGCAGTGGGAGATATACCTAATGCTAGATGACGAGTCAGTGGGTGCAGCGCACCAGCATGGCACATGTATACATATGTAACTAACCTGCACAATATGCACATGTACCCTAGAACTTAAAGTATAATAAAAAAAAAAAAAGTAGTACACGCAAAGATGGTGCAGAAGGCATTCTCAAGGAGAAACAGTGTGAGTGATGATATTGAGGAGGAAAAAAACATTGGACCTACATTTTAAAGAAAGTAGATGGTTCCATGTGCCTGGGCAATGATGTATAGGAAATAGTGGAAAATGTGGTCAGAAAGTGGGATAGTCAGGAAACGGAGGGCCAAGGGTGCCAGATCAAGGAATCTGATTTTCAGATCATAAAGTAATGGAAATCATGAAAAATTCCTTAGCAGAAGGGTGACTTGATCAGATAATTACTTCAGGAAGGTTAATCCTTGCTTAATGGCCAAGAAAACTCTTGTCAGCAGGGCCGAGTTCACAATCAAACTTTATAGTAACTCTTATCAACAGTAATATTCAGTAGCATGAACAAGGAAGAAAATCCGGTTTTTAATCCCAAAGGTAATTCTTCCTACTGCCCAGAATACTCTCTCAGCCTACCAGCTGTGTTGTGTGCTCAGAGAGTAAAAGTTCACATAAATGACACCTACATCAATCATAATTAAGAAAGTCTGCCTGCTAGAGGGAGGGGCGGGGCAGAATAAAATGCTTCCCAACCACTCTTACCAAGGAGAATGACCTCCAGGGAGGCTTTCTGATGGCCCCACAATCTCTTCCCATCTCAGATGCACTGGGTAGGGGCCATCTTTCATAGCCTACAACTCCAGGTGTATATTCTTAATTTACTCAAATAACTTATAACATCATCAAAATATCTTTATCTTCTATAGGGCTATTTTCCTTGCTAATTATGTAAAACTAATAATAGTAGCACACAGACACTGTGAGTCTTATTTTGAGGCATTAAACATGAAATAAACTCAATATACTATATTTCACATGCTTCTTAAGAATATGAAATGGTAATGGTGGTCACTACTCCATGAAATCTAGCCAACATATATTAGTTGTACTGTAACGTAATAATCTCTATCTATAGAAAATGCTTCTATGGCTCTTACAGCAGTTCATGAATATTTGCTTTTAGCTTCAGAATTGCTTTACAGTTTAACAATAAAAAGAGGGACTTAAAAATTAAGTGTAAGGCTTTTGTCTTTTCAAAATTATAGAAAACATCTTTATTTTAGCAAATTATTTTTAAAATATATAAACAAAATTAAGAAAAATAAACATCTTAATTCCACCATTCAGAGATAATGTACTTTTTACTAGAGAAATAACATTTCATTTTATAAATATTCCATAATTCATTAACCTGTATGCTTTTGTACCTTTAGATGGCTTCCAATGTTTCAATTTTAAAAACAGAACTTGATAAGCATGACCATATCTAAATACTTGCTTAAATTTTTAGTTTTCTTAGGACAAATTTATAGAAGTATAATTCTTAGGTCAAACAGGAGGCATATTTTAAAGGTTTTTGATGAATACTGACAAAGCTTGTGAAAATCCTAAGACCAATTTAATATCCTTTCTGCAATGAATGGGAGGTGATTTTCTTGAACACTGGATATTATGATTATGTTTTATTATTTGCTAATTTGCTAGGTGAAAGTTATGGTTTAATTTGTCTTTAATTACTGATTTTAAAAATTTTATAATGCATATTATTCATGTGATTTCTTCCTTTTTCAGTTATAGCCTTCACCAGAAAATTCATATATTTGATATTTGGGCTTTTTCATTCTTGACAACTCTTTATACATATGCTGCAAATGTAAACTTTTTAATATCTGTTTTTACTATTTTTGTAGCATTTTGATACAAAAAAATAAATTTGTACATGGTCAAATCAATCCACCTTTATCTTTTTTAATTTCTGGATTTGGTGTCAAGTTTTTAAAATCTAGCGTGCTCAAGATTATATAAATATTCTCAAAGTTTTTTATACTGTTCTTATGAATTTGGCATGTAAATTTCTTTAATCCAGTTGAAATTTATTTTGTTATATGGTGATAAAGTAATGGTTTTTCCCTATGTGTTTTGCAAATAGCTATCCAGTTGTCCCAACACTACTTAGCAAAAATTCCATCCCTTTTTACTGTTTCCTACATTTAATTGCATGCCAAAATTTATAGATGATATGAATCAGACTGAAGATTTTCTATTTTTTCTGTTAATCAGAATTCCATTCCTCAGCATTAGCAGTACAGTTGATGTCTTTGTGTACACTTCCCAAATCACTTCCCCCAGTAAAAAAGAGCTTCTTACTATCCTGTCACTGTCCTTGACATTTATCTTTCTCGAGTTTATTTATACCCTGACTACACACATATTTCTAAACAATATATACACTTGTTTAGCATTTTTAAAAAACTTCTTATAAGTAAATGAAAATATCCTGTTTCCTATTTTTTGTTGCTGTTCAATGTTTGTGCAATTTATATATGTAGCTCCAGTTCCTTCATTTTCACTGCTTTATAATATTCCATTGTATGAATGAAATGTATTGTTTAAATTATTTGCCCATAGCCTTGTATAAAAGGTTTTATGTAGTTTCTTTTGCTGTAAAACATTCTTGTTCCTATCTCCATAAACATGTGGAAAGATCTCTTGAGTAACTCGCTGGGCTGTCGGATGTATACATCTTCAACTTCATAGTAGGTATTGCCCAGTTGTTCTCCAAAGTGCTTGTACATTTACCTTCCTATAAGCAGGGTTTCTATCACTCCACGGCCTCATTAGTTTTTAGTGTTTTCAAGCTTTTAAGCATTTTTCAATCTGATCAATTTATTCGTCTAGGCAGACTTTTGAATTCTGTTGTCAAGTTCTAAAAAATGTAACTCATTAAGATTTTTAATAGAATTTTAAACTCCATATATTAATGTGGAATAATTAGCACCTATATATTAATCATATAATAATTAGCACTGTTCCCACCTCAGAACATGATCTTTCTAATTTTTTTGCCCCTTCATAGTTTTACACTCTTTCATAGTTGTGAACATTTAATTCATACATGTTGCATATTTTGTTGCTATTGTGAATGAACTCTTTTTTCAAAAGGGTGATTTGTAAAGCCAAAAAATTTACTCTATTCTTTTGTTGACTTTGAATTTAAGTAGATTAGTGCCCCCAAAAGATGGAAAATATGTTAAGAACAAATAGCTGAGCACATCCATAGCATTATCTAAAATGTCAAATAAAAGGTCAGCACTGAAATTAAATTTCAGCACCATTATGAACACTGCTGGTCCCTTCATTTGATCTGCCCCACTCTCCCAAAGTCCTATTTTTTTAAAGTCGCTTTTCAACAGCACCTCCTAATAGGCAGGTAACCACAAGGTGATCTAGAATTCATCACAAAGCAGTGGACAAAGGGTGGGCAACTGGGACCCTCCTCCCAGGGCCCTTTGCACCACCTTGCAACACCTTACTGAGCTTACCTAGCAGTTGTAAGGGCAGTGCTTAATTCTCAGCTTTAACCATGAGCTCAAAACTCAAGGACACAGAGAACGAGAGGAAGAATGGGAGTTCCCACCTCCCCTCTCTTTCTGTCTGCCAGCCACCTCTTCTTCATCAATAGGAGTTATCAAACACCTGTGATGAGCTGAGGACTGAGTCCAATGCTATTAGGGTAAGGGAGGGACATGAAAAGAGCCTAAGACATAGTTCCTGCCCTCAAGGAACATACAATCTAGATGGAAAGATGACTCAGAAGCATGCGCAATTATGGAACAATTCAGAGCCTCGAGTAGTCTTATTTTTTTTCTATGCTACTCTCAGCTACATCCAAATTAGGTAGGTAGACAAATAGGTAGGTAGGTAGACAGACAGACAGACTAGATAGATGGACAGACTAGATAGATAGATACGTACATACATAAGATAGATAGATAGATAGATAGATAGATAGATAGATAGATAGATAGATAGATAGATAGAGACAGATTTAAAATATTTGGGACATTTTAGTTTCTTTGTCACTCTTTGAACTGGAACTATAAAAAATACTCTTTTACTATCACAAGAGGATAGAGGACCTAATATAATGCTACTGCTGTGTCTCAACAGTGACAGCCAGGTACAAAGGTTACCATTACTTCCCTTTGGGCTCTGAGTGTGTCTTGCCTGCAGCCACCACTCACCGTCCCTCACTTCTAACTGGGTTCCCTGGCTGTGGGCACTTCTGGACTACAGCTTATTCCTCCCCAACAATGTTGAGTCCCCAGCTCTATTTAAGCAATCTCTAGTGTGAAAGAGTAAACTGCTTCTCAGAACTTTGAAAGGAGTAGGAAAAAAAAAGTCCAGAACCCTGTGTACCTGGGATTAATTTTATCTCTGTTTTCAAAAAAATAAAAATAGTTCCTCCCTCCAACCCACTGCTTTAGAATGTGACTTGGAGTAACATCTAGTGAGAGAGAGATTAGTCTGTTCATTTGTCCTGCATTATGGTACACATCATTAAAGGTCTAAATACAAAAGATATATGTACACAATCTTGAAGATTAAAAGTAAATTGCAAGCTATTTTGATTCTTCAGAGGGAATTAATAGTATCATATTGCTTAATCTTTTGTAGAGGGTTTAAAGAGTAGTTTCATAAATATGATCTCCTTTAATTCCCACAACAACTCAGTCAGGTAGGCAGGTAATATTATTCCCATCAAACCCATAGACCTTAAGGCTAGAAGGGACTTGAAGGCCTATGCTGCAGATAAGAAAATAGGTTCAGAGCAGTTAACTGAAGTCACATAGCTAGTAGAGACATGACTACGAAGCCTCATTCTGACACCCAGACCTTTCTGTTGCCTTTCTACCATACCAGGTTGCCTCATTGATCCCAAGCAGGGGAAGCTGAAAGTGGCCATTTTGTATGTAGTGAGCACATGGGAGGAAGGAAGGGAGGCAGGGAAGAAGGGAGGAGAGGAGGAAGGGAGGAAGGAAAGGAGGGAGGGAGGAAGAGAGTAAGGGAAAAAGGGAGGAAGGGAGGGAGGAAGGAGGCGGAGGGAGGATAAGAGGGAGGGGAGAGGTGCTCAAGGGTTTCAATTGTAGCCTGTCTGTTTTGTGACAACATCAGCTGAGACCTTCACATTCAAGGTTATAGTACTGTGAGGTATAGACCCCTTTAAATCTTCTGTGTTCATGTGCCAGTGTTACAGCTGACAGAGAAGGGAACTAGCCACTTGTTAAGCCTGCCCAACCCCAAATGAAAATTGGTTCCCAGTCAATACACCCCATCTGATTTTGTCAGGGGATGCCTAGGTCTGGAATTCCAGAACCTCTGAGAAGAAAGGTCATTTCTCAGGCTGACTGTGATGCTTAGAGCCCAAACTTAACTAAAGATCTTCAAACCGTATTAGAACAAATTATACGGAGAATGGAACCAAATTTTACCATTTTCCCCCAGAATCAAAGCCATGGAATATTTTCAGGACAAGGATAACTTTTAAGCCCCAGCCTCCTCAGATCAATCTTTGTGTGAGCCCATCAGATGTACTGACAAGACTAGAGACAAGGTGAAAGCCACACTAGGAAGGGAGTAAAGGACCATTTATTTTATCAGGAGACCTCTGTGTCTACCTTCATACAAGACAACTGACATGAGAGACACAAAGGTAAGACAGATTGACCAAGGATTCTACCCCAACCTCCTTCCCCAGGTGCAAGAGTGTGTGGCCGCCGCTTAGTTAAGGTGCAATACTATGCAACAGTGTGTGGCCGCCTAGTTAAGCTCTTTACTTGGCAAGCCACCAGCCACTTGGGACAGACAACTGGGTCACCATGGCCCCCTGACATCAACACTGTTCAGACACCAGAGAGAATAAAACAGGAATTTAATCCAAAGATTGGTTTTGGAGAACCACGCTCAGACTGGAAGGCTGAGCCCTGAAAAAGATCTGTCTCACCAGCTGGCCAAAATAAATACAGGCAAAAATAAAAGAAAAGGAGAGAAAAGCAGATTATGAATAGTTTTTCCAGACATGCAATTCTAAACCTAAGTCCAGATACGTACTTTACAAAAAAAAAAAAAAAAAGAAGTGCCTTAGTCTTTTGAACTATTTCATCTCTGGAAACAGCCTTATTTTACTGCTAATTTGCTTCGATTCAGAAAACTGACATATAGGGAGATCAAGGAACTTATATACTTATATGCATTTATGTAGAAGTTTATTATTCTAAACATTAAAGCACAATAATACAAGACTAAAAGGCATGTTAGTTATTACTGATATAAAACATACATAACTACCTTCCATATCCTGGCTGTTAGCATTGACTTTTTGTTGCGATTTGCTGAAACCCATGTCTGCATTTTAAAACCTTTCTTTTTTAAAGGATCAAAATTTTTCCCCAAATACAAATTTCAACAGACACACATCAAATGCCTACTATGAGCTGGCCGCTCCATTATTGATTTAGAAATTATTGGGATTTTGTTGAGGAAAGAAAGAAGAAAAAGAAAGTGAAATTCCCCAAGGGGAAATAAAGCTTATAAGAAACTTGACTGTTTACAATGCTAATCTTCATATAACTTAGAAAAGTACATATCAAATTTGAAAAGGATTTTATGTTCCCATTAAGAAGAGATGTGTATTGTTTTGTATCTGTTTATAATGAACATGGTCATTTTATTGTATTCTGAAATGATAGCATGCATTGGTTGTTTTCAATCTCAAAGACAGTTTCAGTGAAACAAAATTATTGTTAATGTGAATAATATATTGATTATTGTGTGCTGGAAGTTTAACAGCAATGATATAGCTAGGAAGTAGAACATTTAAAAGTACAGTCTTCAACACTAAAGAAATAACTCATCCAAATCCTATAATATTATGTAAAATGGAAAAAGATATGCTTATAATTAACTGCTATGTTCACTTATTCTAAAGCTTTTGGTCCTATGAAAGCAGAATGTTTACAGCTGGTAATACTATCCATATCTTAAATAGCTTTTTAATGACACTGCTCTTCTTTGGCTAAATTATGTCACATAAAACCTCCCAGAGAAATGAAAAAGAGCACAGTTATGAACAAGACATATAAAGTTCCCAAACTCATTCAAAAGCCTTGCCAATATACTCATCCCAGTACTGAACACATTTTCAAATCAGCCACTCTGACCTTTCTAATGAGCATATTACCAGAATCGCAACTGTCATAAAAGGAAAGAGATCTTATTAACCAAGAAAGTTTATATCCCACGTAAGCCTCACACATTAAATATTGCATAATCCATGCACTGAAAAGCAGGAAGGATCAATATTCTAAGTACAGGAATCTCAAATAAGCTTAAATGAATGTTTTTATATTTGTATAATAATGGCATACTCTGAACTCTAAATTATGAGTAAACATTTTAATACAAAGCATATAAGCACTTTTCCTTATTTTTCAGAATTTACTTCAAACTGTTAATTATGCCTTTGATGCCTGATCCATTATACATGGGTTATACCATAAATTAAAGTCAAAAATGGGTACCACATAGCATAACTAGTTTTCCATATGACAGAATTTTTATTCTTTTTCATTACAAATTGAGATAGATTCAAAAGGTACTCAGGAATATCAATCTTTATAAAACCAGCCCAGGTTACTAAATTTCTGTTTAGTTTAATACCAAATTTTTATAGACAAGTAGCTAAAAATATATTGTTTTGAAAACTCTGAAATCAAAGAAATACAGATTACAGAGGATGAATAACAAAAATTTCAAAAACAAATCCACCCATGTTGTATTGATGCTGCGTCTATAGGCTTCGTATGTTTAATTATGTCTTAATATATGCTTGCCCACATCAATGATGTCTGGTTTTGTGGCAAAGCTCAGATTAATTATGTTTCTTTAATATGTCTAACATAAAATGATGCCCATTTAATAAGAATCTTTGATGATGGTCACAAACCCTCGGCAGAACTCCCAGTTACCACAGAGTGTCTTGTAAAACAAACAAAAAAAAATTAACAAACTTATAATCACCAAAAATGTCAAGGACTGACTTGAGTACTATTTTAAGTACTTTTTTCAATCAAAGAAAGAAACTTCTTAGTGCACCGCTTCTCAAACATGAATGCACATACACGTCACCTGCAGATTCTCATTCAGGAGGTCTGGGGTAGGACCCCGGATGCTGCATTTGTAACATGTTCTCAGGTGAGGCAGGAAACACACTTTACATAGAGAGTAGGAAAATCTTTCTAAGATACCAGAACAAGGCCTCAACACCTTATTGGAGAGTTCCTTGGAGTTTAATAAGTTTTTCTATAAGGGGGCTCATCCCAAACACTACCTACCTTCTCAGTCAAATGAAAGAAAAGAATGGCCATCACTCTTGTGAAGAAAGATCCTTCAGGTGGAAGGATCCTTCAGGTGGAAGATATGAAACCTTAATAGTCTAGCTCTAATTTAAAGGAATTAAATGCACCCTTCACCCACTAAAGCATTCATTTATTCTTACTCAAACATCTGTTGAGCATCACCAAAGTGCCTAGGACTACTCTATATACTGCAGGGCAAAACAGAATTTAAAAGGCAAAAACCTTGTGTTTAGGAGCTTGCAATATGGTAGGAAAGATGAAACATCTTCTCCCAAACACAAACAACTGCACACCCATGTAGAAGGGAATCAGTGTCCACAAAGAAGTAGAAAGCCAGTGTGGGGGTTGGGGCTGAGGAGAGAGATGACACACATTTGTTGTACGAATCAAGGATGGTCTCCTGGAGGAGGACTCTATTAGACCACTTTCACACCGCTGTAAAAACTGCCTGAGACAAGGTAATTTATAAAGGAAAGAGTTTTCACTGGCCCACAATTCCACATGGCTTGGGAAGCCTCAGGAAACTTACAGTCATGCTGGAAGGTGAAGGGGAAGCAAGCACCTTCTTCACAAGGCGGCAGGAGAGACAGCGTGCAAGGAGGGGACTGCCAAACACTTTTAAACCGTCAGATCTCGTAAGAATTCACTCACTATCAGGAGAGCACCATGGGGAAACCACACCCACAATCCAATCACCTCCCTCCCTCAGCACGTGGGGACTACTATTCTAGATAACATTCAGGTGGGGACACAGAGCCAGCCCATATCAGGACTATCACCCTCTGAGATGAGCAGGGTTCAATATGTAGAGATGGAGAGTGAGGAATGATACACACAGAGGTACAGGTAGAAATGTAGGTGTTTTTGTAATGTTTTTATTTTTACAACTAAAATAGTTAACACTCAACATTTTAGGTTATGTTTTATTTAAAAGTTTTTTTCAGAACTTCAAAGATTAGATTAGAGGTTCTCAAAGCTCTAGAGTTCTTAAAGTGGGGTTTTCAAAACAGCAGCGGCATTAGCATCACCCAGGAACCCTATAGAAATGCAAGCCCCAGGTCTACCCAGGACCTCCTGAATCAGAAACTCTGGGGCAAGGCCTAGACATCTGTGTTTTTAACAAGCCCTCCACAACAGTTAAGTTTGAAAACCACTAAATCAGACCTTCTCTATTTCAATGTGAATAGGAATCTCCTTGGGAGCTTACTGAAATTCAGTTTCTTGGGTACCACTCCCAAAAAATCTGAGTTAGTACAGTTGAGGTAAGGCCTGAAATTTGAAATTTTAGTAAGCATCCCAGCCTTCTCTGACACAGGTGGACCACAGACTCCATTTTGAGAAAAAGTAAGAGTTTCTTCATCTCAGAATAGGAGATGAAGAAAAGAAAAAAGGATAGGAAGAGAGTCAATAAAAACAGGTAGGAGAGGAGAGAAAAGAGTAAAACTGCTCAATGTTTAGCAGTGTGAAACCAGCCAGTAAGAAAAAGGTTTGATTCCAAATGCTCTGGAAAGAAAATTAGATCCAGAAAGCTGATACCTAAGTAACTCACATATTTCATAAAGTTTGATGGACAGTTCCACAAGGATTTTTCAATAGCCATAAACAATTCCTCTTTTATAACAGAGGTCTAGAGTATGACTCCTCTTGACATTACAAGTGTAGAGAAATTGATCGAGTTCTTTCCTGTGTGGTGCCCAAGAATTCGATAAGCCGTTGTCGTTTTTAAAAGACTGTCATTTATTGCTTGTGGGTTACAGGAGAGCTTAATGGCAAAAATTACTCTTAAACCCCTGTCCTGTTTGAGCACCCAGTCAGCATTAGCTATTTCCTCTCAGAGATTCCTTTCTTTTTCCTATAAACTTTCAGGGATAAATCTCAGAGTGACTTAGCATCTAGAAAATAAAGTTCTGGCTTAGCAGTAGCTATAACCCTACAGCATTGTGAAGTTAATTATTTGGTTTTAAGGTTGTGTTTTATCCTCTAATCTTCCTCATTTTAAAGCAAAATTGAATCGGCCACTTTGGGTTTAGGCTATTTCAAACACAGGATGAAACATAAAGTTCCTGAAGTCCTCAAGGAGACATAAAATTTCTGGGGTGCCAAGAGATAGAATTTCCAGGGCACAGATTTCCTTGAGGCCTGGAAGCCGCTGACAGTCACCTCCTTTGTACAGGACGGGGGCCTCCGTCCTTTTTCTCCTTATGCCGTTTAGGATCATGGTAAAGCAGAGGTCCTGGAGTCAAATTGTTCCACCTCACCTCTTACTACACATTTTGCTTTAGGCAAATAACCCTGCCTCTCTCTACTGCCATTTTCTCATCTATGAAATGGGGATATTAATCATAACAGCTTCATAGAGTGGTTGCAGTAATTAAAGAGATAGTACACATACAGCATTTAGAAAAGGTCTTGACATTTAGTAAGTGCTTAAGTGTTTTTATTATTTCCCATATTTTATATAGCATAGAATGAATCTAAGTAGACATGAAGATGGCACTTAAAATACTAATTAAAAAATACATGTATCATTGAAAGTACTTTGAGAAATGAATTACTCTACGTCTGGTCAAGAATGCATTCTATTAGAATCGTTTAAATAAAAACTTGCAAGAGAGGGCTTCAGGGTTTTTAAATCTTGCTTTATTGGTATTTTCCATTCCAAAGCTTTCCTGAAATGGTGTTTTGCAGGTAGCCTGGGTTGTATTGTGGCTCTGTCCTTATATGCGGGACCTCAATAAGCCACCTAATCTTTCTGTACCCAAGTTTTTCTCATCTGCAAAATGGGCTAACAGCTCGTTGGGAGGATCCGGTGGGCACTTGCTGTTGAAGGGGCTTCAGAAAACAGTGCTGATGAGGGACTGGGGTGGCAGAGGCTGCTGTTGTCTCATGGTCCTTAGCGGAGTGAATGCCAGCCTGTGGGTCTGTGGCATATCCCAAAGCAGCCACCCAAAAAGGAGAAATGTCTACAAAGCCCTGTGCCTTACCACTAAGATTCATGTGAATTTTTAAAATTCTATCCCATGACATAGCTGTATCTTTTGATGTAAAAATATTTTAAATTACTTTCCAGTTAAATAACTTAAATTTCTCTTCCCTCTCAACCCTCCCAGTGCCCTATGCCAGTACCCCCTTTAACATTCCTGAAGTTAAGCTGATACTCTTCGGCTACTCACTTATTTCCCGAGTTGTAAAGAAATCCCAGTTTCCAAAACTCTAGAGGCAAGTTCTATGCAAAAATCACATTTTCATTACCAAGCTACAATGAGAAGTCTAGTATATTAAACTATTTCCTGGATTGCCAAGGATTTTCAGTTCTCAAATATTCTTCTCCCACCTTTTCTGCTCGCCATCAAAGACTTCATATAGTAAACACACAGCACAGGAATGGAAAGCAGAAGATGCAATACTAGAGAAGTCAGTAATCTGTGAAGATGAGAATGTGCTGCAGGGCTATTACACAACTCATACATTATTCAGGATAAATTATACATGGAGAAGTTGTGGTGAGATGTCTCCCACATTTCAAAGGCACAGAGTTCTACTACAGAATTTGTCAATTTTCTGAATAGGACTCCAAGACTTTAATAAAAATCATTGCTCTATCATTTTTAAGGAAAGAAGACCTCATCTCTATTTTTTGCAGAATAAAACACCTTAACTTAGATACTAAAATTCTTATCTTGGTCTTCACATTCAAAAGAGAGATTTGTTCCTGACTTATAAAGCAAACATTCCTAAATGATGCTCTCCCAATCTAATAAATTCAGCATTTAGTGGTTTATAACAAGCTTTTTAACAAAATTACTACTGGGTAAGAGTAATAATGACATAAATACTAAGAATGGAAGAATGACATAAATGCAAGACTGACATAAATATTAAGTTAAATTCCCAATTACTTTTTCTTTCTTTAAATATAAGTCGATTTGTAGACTTACACAGGTCTTCTATGGGAAGGTTACAGAAAAAAAGCAATGCTTCATACAAAACAATTAGGAATCTTTCCCTTAAGTCTTACAACCATATAAGTACAAATTGTACTTTAAAGTGTCATGTGGTTTTATATAATATATACATAAAATAACATACTTTATATGTAAAATCATATGATACTTTATATATACGCAATAAATTGAATTGTCTAACCTATTAACCAATTGAAGTAAGATTAAGGAGTATATTTGTATTTGAAATGTAAATGATGCTTTTTCCACTTAGTGATTTATTGCTTTTAAGTCACGTTGAAAAATTACAGGTATTATCAGCATAAACCACTGGCCTCCCAAGATTCTTTTCTCTTTTAAAATTTGTGTCATAAAGTTGATAGATACGTTAAGACAAAGTTTTCAGTGATTATCCTTTTTTCTTTCTATCAGAGGCTTTGGAGATCTTTTTATTTTCAGAGAAGTAACAGCTCTAAAGCAAAGCAAAATCATCAAACAAGCACATGCAAATGAACAGATCATTCTGCAGATAAATTAAAATTGTAGTCCTGGGAAGATAAAAGACCTCAATTGACTCACAGGTTTAGGTAGTAAGTTTCATATTTTCCTCAGAAACTTAAGTGACTATGGTCATTACCCTATGTATTTTAGAAAAATATTTTTAAGGCTAGGTTCTTCCCAAGAGATGGTCATCATGCAAACATGGACCTGCGATGCTTTGTGGACAGAACCTTCCTAGACCAGTGGGACCTCTGAACGACTCCTGCTCTGCCAGCTCTAGCTCAGAGTCTACTGCAGGCATACATGGAAAAAGGCAATGTGGGACTTTTAGAGTCTGAAATGTTGCCTCGAGTAAGCTATTTTAACTTGGGAGGCGGATAATTTTATATTTTTCCTATTATAAAACTAAGTTGTGCTCAATGATTTAAAAATACATAAATCAGAGAATGCAGAAGTGTCAAAAGTTAAAAAAAAATCAAACTGAGGATCTCTTAAAATTCTCACGCAGCTTCTACCAATGAACTCTACACCATCAATCCCATTCTCTACAGGCACTCATTGTTAAAGTCTGATGTATGAAACTCATTTAAGGCTTTATATGAAAATGTAATATATTCTGCATATGTATGATTTTATTTTACAATAAAATGGAAGCTTACTTCACTACATATACTGTTCTGCATATCCATATGTAAAACCAAATTATCATTGGAAGACTTCTTGGATAGAATAGAATCAGGAAAAGAAGTTGTTGAATTGCCTTGTTGGTTTAGTGAATTAAAGCTATGACAATGGTATGTTCCACATACTTGATGGAAATTTACCAACTGGGAAGAGGTCAAAAGATCAGAATGTTCCTGTGCACTGTTTAGAGAATCTGTTCAGCAGACAGAACCAGAAACATGCATATAAATGTTTACACTCTGATCATTCCCTCCTCCTCCTATTCTAAGTTCCACACCCACCATGCCCCTTTGATTAGTACAACCTTTCTTAAGAAAGCATAGAAATTAAAAATCTGCATGGTCTCATATGCACTCGACTTTACTGGGTTACAACTTGATTATGTTATGTCATCATCCAATTATAAAGAGTACAATGATTAGGTTGAGATGTTGATACATCATTGTTTCAGACATTACAACCTTGTCACCTTGACAGAGTTTTGTTTTCAGCTACTACTGGTTGACTAATCCTTTGAGTGTTTTTATAGCAGGTTGATTCATGCATTATGTCTTGATTTTCCTTGAAACTTCATTTTTCACGGTTAATCTTATCTTCTGATCCTAAGGATGCCGTGTGTGTGTGTGTGTGTGTGTGTGTGTGTGTGTGTGTGTGTGTGTGTGTGTAAGTTAGGCATAGTTAAAGCTATGTGGACACTAAGGATGAACTGTTAAATAAAAGTACTGAGGATGCAGGCAGTCACTGCTTTGTCACGGCTTGCCTGAAATCTCAAAGGATGCTCACTTTACTGTATAAATGAATAGTAAAACATATATCTGTAGTGTATTGGGTCACAAAGTCCTGTGTGAGTGTCCATACCTGTCTTTTCCTTAAATAAACACATCAAATGTTTATGAAGCACCTGCTATATGCCAGGAACTGTGATAAGCATTGGTGATGCAGTGGTGAACAGATATACATAATCTGAGTTTCCAGTCTGGTGAGAAAGAGTTTCCAGTCTGGTGAGGAAGACAACCATTAAACAAGGATACACAGATGTGAAGGGCATTCCCAAAGAGAAGGTGACAGTGCTGTGGGAACATATAACAAAAGATCTAAGCCACCCTCCTAGATAGGGAAATAAGGCCCTTCCTGAGAATAAATTAGCCAGGCAAAGATGAGTGAGAAGAGGAAGAGATTTTGAACAAAGTCTGGTACCTCATCGTGAATGGTCATTAAGATTCCTGTTATTTTTGGAAATCAATGGGTCCAAGGCTTTGACTAACAAAACTTTTTTGTGACATTGGAGAAGCTCTGGGAGTAAGATCTTACTGTTACAACACACTAAGAATGTAGACTGGGACTCTCAAAGTTAAAGGCTATTATTGCTTCTGACTCTGACCTGTCTGCCCTGGCAGTCACCTTATGTTTCTTGTTCATTCTCTTTCCCTCACCCATCTCAGCTGGCATTTGATGTTCTTCCCTCCCGCACTCTGATTACTCTTCTAGCTATACCCATCAAACAATAATACTGTGAAGTACAATGTTTCCAAAAATATAATATGACTGGAATAAAATGAGATGATTTTATGTAGAACAAATTTTCAATAGTCATGCATTTACTTTTACAAATTCCTTCTTTGAAAATAAATTCAATTAATACTAGCAAGTCAATTTAAGAAAATATATTGGCTAGTACAATATAAGCTAGTACAAATATAAGCTAGTACAAAAAAAAAGTGTGAAAGACTGGAAATCCTTTTTCTTCACAAAAAAATCATTAGGAAGCCAAAGAGCTTTAATATCATTATAATAAAGATTGTTTAATAGAACATGCATTTATCTTGCCTTGGTTTTTTTCCAGGTGAACAGGAGCAGGAAGTGCAGAGCAGGCACTAGAACAGGATTTCAACCTCAACCCCACCACTCACTAGCTATGTGACCCCAATCATACAACTCAATCCTTCTGAGCCTTAGTCTCCTCATCTAATGATACCTACCTACCTTACAAGGCTACAGAGAAAGTAGAGGCAACACAGGTGAGGCATGGAATGCTATACCTCTAAGTGCTAAATATTGTGATTATTAGTTTTTAGTTCTAATATATTCTTCTGCCCATGACCAAACTATAGAAATGCCAAATTGCAGAAAAGAGACTCTCATCCATGTCAAATGAAAAATAAAGCTCTAAATTAGAAAAAAAAAAACATCTTGGAAACAGAAAAGTATCAGTGGGAGTTCAGCTATAGATAACAAAAGGCAATCTAGTTCTTTTACAAAGAAAGGGGTTTCCTACAAGGACATGGGTGCTCACATCTTTGGAAAATCTAGAGAAGCAGGGTCTAGGCTTGGCCCCCAGAAGAGCAACACAAGACTGGCCAAACTGGGGGAGCTGCTGCTCTGCCAGAGAGGAAGCTTGAAAATAAAGAAATGGGCACAGCAACTGTAGGCTCCAGGGAAACATACGACCCATCTAAGGTCAGAAGCCATGGCCAGATGGCTGGCTCCAGAGCAGGATTGCCAGATAAGACACAGGATGCCCGTTTGAATTTGAATTTCTGATCAACAACATTTTCTTTTGGAAATGTTTTTCTGACACTAAATTTCAGAATAATTTTTAGTATAAGTATGTCCCATGTAATAGGATATACTTATACTAAAAAAATCTTGTTGACTTGAAATTCAAATTTAACTGAGTGCCCTGTGTTTAACTGGGAGCCCTGAATTATTCATAATTTGTCTGAAATTCTAATTTAACCAGATTGTATTAGTCAGTTTTTTGTGTTATTACAAAGAATGCCTGATACTGGATAACTTACAAAGAGATTTAATCAGCCCACAGTTCTGCAGGCTTTACAAGCAGGGCGCCAACATTTGCTCAGCTTCTAGTGAGGGCCTTAGGAAACTTACAATCATCAGGGAAGGTGAAGTGCCAGCAGGCACATGGTGAGAGCAGGAACAGGAAAGGGAGGAAGAGGAGTCAGGTTCTTTTAAACAATCAGCTCTCCAGTAAACTAACTGAGGTAGAACTCACTCATCACCAAAAAGGTGGTGCTAAACCCTTCGTGAGGGATCTGTACCCATGATCCAATCACCTCCCACCAGGTCCCACCTCCAACATTGGAGATCACATTTCAACATAAGATTTGGAAGGGACAAATCCAAACCATACTACAGGTATTCTATATTTTTATTTGCTAAATCTGACAACTCTACTCTAGCCAATTGTTTTAGCATGAGCAGAAGGGTGCTTTGGATGATACTGCCTCAATTCAGCCTCATCAGACTGCATCAAACTGGCAGAAACTAAATCACATCAGGAACTCTGCTAGCTGCAATGAGATTTGGGAGACAAAACTTTTAGCTCTCAGTCTCTGTCTTATGGAAGGCATGCAAGAAGTCGGAAGGGCATATGACAAGCAAATAATTCACACCACAATATCTATACAATAATGGTGATCCCTGGTATTTGTAATTTGTGTATTATTTAACAAATATTTTGTGAGCATAAATTAGCTGCCAGGCACTACAGGCATTGGAGATACAGCACTTAACAAAACAGACAAAATTCCTGTCTTTATAAAGCTTATATTCTAGTAAAAAAAAAAAAAAACACAACCAAAAAAAAAAACACTAAAAATTACAGAAGTGCATACAGTTGAAAAAGTCATCTATAATTCCACTACTCCTCTTTCATCTTGATGTGTAAAAAATTTTAATAAAACAAAATAAAAAATCTTCTTCCTTTCTCCGTTCTCCCTCCAATTTTACCTCCCAGAGATAATCATCAGTCGAAGTCCTGTGTGTTTGTGTACTTATTGTAAATAAATGAAACCCAACCAGTAAGTCCTACAAAAGTGAGAGGCATGTAGACTCAGGGAACCTGCTGAAGGGATCAAAACCAAGCAAAGCTAATTAGAAAAGATGAAGTCTAGGCATCCTTTTCCTTTTCCCTTAGGGTATGAGTGCCTCATTTAGATCCTGTGACCTCCTGAAGCTACTTTCTTCCTTGTTCTCCATCCTCTCAATCCTTCCTTCATCCTGCTATCCTTCCCTTTATCTGCCCTGGATCTTCCAACTGTCAGAGTGGAGCACATACGGGACAAGGTAAACGTTTTTCCATAGAGTACTGGTCAATTTTCATAAGTCCAATTTTATCGGCGATGCTAAAATATCCGCAGTCTACTAATGTGAAGACAGACGGAGAAAAAATGACTAAGAAAAAAACCCCTCTTTCTCTATCTCCTTCTGACTACATAGCTTTATTTTCCTACTATCATTTACTCATAAAAACTCTACTCCAGCCGCTGTCCACAATATGCTTCTTTATTTTCCCACTGCTGTATCTCTGTCCTGACGTTCAGACTGTATGGAGGGTCTTACTATTCAACACCTCTGCCCATGGGCATTTACCCCTGCTCAGGACCAGCTTAAATGCCTCTTCCTCAATGCCACCATCTTAGATCCTGAGACAGGTTTTATTTATTTAAGTGCAAGTAGTTTACTTGGGAGGAGATCCTAGCATGCTTTTGCCTTTGCCAGAGGAGAGGGAGGTAAGACAGGGAAGGGAAAAAGCCAACAAAAGGTGTGGCTATAGAGAAAATTATACGGTGGGCCACTGGGGTTTAATCCCACTGGGGAAGTCAGGGAGAGCTATCCCTTCAAAAGACAAGGGAGCTGAGAGTTTATCCTTTAATTCCCTTCTGTCATTAGCTGAAGGTTCCTCCTAGTGTCATTAGCTCCTCTTCAGAAGGCCTGGCCTGGGCATGGACTGAGAGAAAGAAATGCCTCCCACGGAAAATCACAGGTGCTTGCAATAGGATTCTGTCAGTGCATGCAGAAACTGTGGGTGCCAAGGGGATATAAGCCAGGGGACATATGACATTTTGAAAAGTTAGACATGCTTTGTCCTACTCTGCTCTCATGACCCTTGGACTGTATCATTTCCCCAATAGTTATCACATCCTGCCTCATGTTATAGGTATTTGTGTACAATTAGAAGAAAATATTAAATTACTAACTATCTTAGCTTGGGGTCCCCCCAGAAAGTAGACCCCGAGGCAAATGCTTCTGTGTTACTACTTTATCGAGAAGTATTATCCCAGGAAAGCAGAGACACTGAGAAGGTGAGGCAGGGAAGACAGAAGCACCAGTATGAGGTATGTTTTGAAAGTGGCCACCAGTAAGTGCAACTGATTGCATAATCACTCAGGACTATCCTCCAAGGAGCTGTGTACACTCAGTGTCTCGGGACATTCCACCAAGAAGAGATGGTAGGGGTTAGAATTTATCTACCAATTCCTTTCTCCCATCACCAAAAAGGTTCATTGGACAGGTACTGTCCCCTGCACGTCCACAGTACATAGGGGCAGGCACTGAGAATCCCACAGCCTCTATCACCTCATTCAACAGAGAAGCCCCAGGGCAGTCGGCAAGTGACGTGTGGCACAGGCGGGAGGCGAGGGGCTGTCTGTGGCTGCATGTGGTTTGTCTGAATCTCATCTGTGGCTGGGGCAGAGATGAAAGGGCCTGAAGATAAGTGAGAGCAAGAGGATATGAAGCAGCTTATTAAATTAATCTGATTTACCAAGTGAAATAACTCACCAGGGATGACCTAATCCTCACATGGACCCACACACCATACCAAGAAAATTTTCCTGAAACAGTGTGAAGCATCCGACAGTGGCTTACAAATGAAAATCAACATTCTGGCTAAGCACAGTGGCTCACGCCTGTAATCCCAACACTTTGGGAAGCCAAGATGGGAGAATCACTTGAGCCCAGGAGTTCGAGACAAGCCTGGCAATATAGCAAGACCCCGCCTCTACAAAAAATAAAAATTTAGCCAAGCATGGTGTTGCATGCCTGTAGTCCTAGCTACTTGGGAGGCTGAAGCAGGGTGATCACTTGAGCTGAGGAGATTGAGGCTACAGTGAGCTATGGTCATGCCACTGCATTCCAGCCTGGGCGACAGAGAAAGATCCTTCCTCTTAAAAAGAATTACTTAATTAACTAATTAAATAAAAAGCAACATTCTATTGTGAAAATCTGGTACATCAAACTAAAAACAAAGAAAGCTGAGTGGAGAGAAGTATTCTTTCCAAACGCCTGCTCACAGTGAACACAGGTTTCGGAGGAGATGGAGATGTACTGGAAGAATAAAACCAAGAAGGAAAACAAACCAAATGAAGCAAATATGAGTAAATTAAAAGTTAGGAAGCTGGGCCTGGCGCAGTGCCTCATGCCTGTAATCCCAGCACTTTGGGAGGTGGAGGCGGGCCGATTGCACAAGGTCGGGAGTTCGAGATCAGCCTGGCTAACATGGTGAAACCCCGTCTCTACTAAATATACAAAGTTAGCTGGGTGTGGTGGCACACGCTTGTAATCCCAGCTACTCAGGAGGCTGAGGCAGGAGAATTGCTTGAACCCGGGTGGTGGAGGTTGCAGTGAGCCAGGATAGCACCACTGCACTCCAGTCTGGGCCAGAGTGAGACTCTGTCTCCAAAAAAAAAAAAAAAAAAGGAAGAAGGAAGCCTTGCTGTTATCAGTGGGGCAAAGGGAAAGAGTTCTCTGGTTCATTCAAAGATTCCTCAGAGACACTCTATAAATAATTTTTAGTTGTTTTATTTTCACTCATCAACTCCTGCAATGCATGAATTATAAATATATACAAATTTTACATGTATTTATGATAGCTGCATTAAAGAGGCAGAGGAAACTATCTCAAGGAAACATGATGTCCAAAATCTTTATAGGTACTGTCCTAGAAGGCAGGCCACATGTAAAAGAGAAACACGTTTGTCTGTTGGAAGAATATAGGTATCAGGAAGAATATTGACCAGTATACATATTGTTTAAAGGAAAAGAGAAGGGTTGTACTTGAGTTCAGTTTTTTATAGTCATCGGTTTATTTTTTAATCTGTATACTGTTTAATACATTGTCAGCAAGGATTGATGAAAAGGTCAGTGACACTTTTTCTACAATGTATAGTATTATTTCAAAAAGAATTAAAGAAAATATTTTAAATGTTAAGAGACATTCCTATTTAATTCCTTAAGAAACATTTTCCTTGAGATTCTGCAACCTTGGAAAAATTCAGTTCTCAAGGTATTCCAAATATGCAGCAAATGATATATGTTTTATAATTAATGTATAACAAACATTTTATTAAAATGCATAGAAGGTTATATGGAAGACTAAGCATAACGAATACAATAATGAAAATGGTAGAACCTTTTAGACAACAAATATGTTTCCGTTTCAGAGAGAACAGCTGTGTAAACTACTATAGCAACCACAGTCTATGTAATCATATAACTGAGGCATAGTCTTCAAGATCAAGTGCTTGGTTATAGTCAGCCATAGCTTCCTCAATCAGACCTATTTTACCACGAACTTTTGCTCTAAAATTATATACTAGAGCATCATTAGGCTTCAAAGACAGGGCTGCAAAAGAAAAAAAATCAAGATATATTTAAGTTGGCACTCAAAAAATAGTCTCTTTTTTTACAAAAAAAAATTGGATAAGAACTTTTAAAAAAATTAACTCAATGGATGAAATCAAGAACTTTAATACTTTTAATTTGAAAACACTTTTCTTCAAACAGAACTATTTAGTTAAATTAAAAATATTGAATCTTTCTAAGCAAACTAACTTGGGGAAACACAGTACAATGTCTTTCTTTGAAAGGTTGGCATTGTTTGTGTATAGTTTTGTAATAATTCCCTATATCTCAGTTTACCACAGCTTTAAGTTAAGACATTACATAAAGGAACCTATATCGATTATATTAAGGACATGATATCTAAAAACACTAATTCTTATGTAAGTTTATCTAAATAAATAGACCTAATGATTTTCTTCTTTTGTAGCCTAAAAATAATCACTTCAACCACTGTAATCTTACCAGAATAATTACCAAAAGTGTACCTTTATTAAGGTCTTCCTCAGCTAGTTCATATTGCTTTAAGCAGTAGTAGAAATGTGCTCTATTAAAATATACTGCAGCCCAAAAGGGACAGCTTTCAATTACATTTGCAAAATCTTCTTTTGCTTCTTCATATTTCTTTAATATTGTATTTGTAATAGCTCGATTCATGAGAACATATTCATTTTCTGGATCAAATTTTAAAGCTTTTGAGAAGTAGTCACTGGCCTACAAAATATGAAGATAATGATATATTTTAATTGGCAACTTACTATACAGAAATTTGAAGCACTTTTACTCTTAATTTTAAATTAAGGCCAGTGGCATACCAAGAGGTCAACAGAAGCATTTCATCCCAGGTACAGAGGTGCATTGTCTGCAGAGAATGTAAAAAGCTAAACCCAACCAAAAGTTGACCTGCTTTTTGTTATTACCATGTGTCAGCAATTCTAGACAATGTCAACGATATAATACTCCTGTTGGCTGGGTTAAAATGCTCCCACTGGCCAGGTGCAGTGGCTCACGTCTGTAATCCCAGCACTTTGGGAGGCCAAGACGGGTGGATCACCTGAGGTCAGGAGTTCGAGACCAGCCTAGCCAACATGGGGAAACCCCATCTCTACTAAAAATACAAAAATTAGCTGGGCATGGTGGCAGGCACCTGTAATCCCAGCTACTCAGGAGGCTGAGGCAGGAGAACTGCTTGAACCTGGGAGGCAGAAGTTGCACTGAGTGGAGGTCACACCAATGCACTCCAGCCTGGGTGACAGAGCAAGACTCCATCTCAAAAAAAAAAAAAAAAATCCTCCCACTGCCTCTTACCCCAAATCCCAGATCCCTGTATAGAGCTAAAAAATGTTAAAGCATAAAATAGAAAAGAAGGCCACAACAACAGGATAAAATACAAATTAGAAAAGTAACACTTTGGTTTTTGTCATTGGTTCTGTTTAGGTGATGGATTACGTTTATTGATTTGCATATGTTGAACCAGCCTTGCATCCCAGGAATGAAGCCAACTTGATCATGTGTGGATAAGTTTTTTGATGTACTGGATTCAGTTTGCCAGTATTTTATTGAGGATTGTCGCATCTATGTTCATCAGGGATATTGGCCTAAAAATTTCTTTTTTTTTTGTTTTGTTGTGTCTCTGCCAGGTTTTGACATCAGGATGATGCTGGCCTCATAAAATGAGTTAGGGAGGATTCCCTCTCTTTCTATTGAGTGGAATAGTTTCAGAAGGAATGGTACCAGCTCCTCTTTGCACCTCTGGCAGAATTCGGCTGTGAATCCATCTGGTCCTGGATTTTTTTTGGTTGGTAGGCTATTAATTACTGCCTCAATTTCAGCACTTGTTATTGGTCTATTCAGAGATTCAACTTCATCCTGGTTTAGTCTTGGGAGGGTGTATGTGTCCAGGAATTTATCCATTTCTTCTAGATTTTCTAGTTTATTTGCATAGAGGTGTTTATAGTATTTACTGATGGTAGTTTGTATTTCTGTGGGATTGGTGGTGTTATCCCCTTTATCATTTTTTATTGTGTCTATTTGATTCTTCTCTCTTTTCTTGTTTATTAGTCTGGCTAGCTGGAGGCATCACGCTACCTGACTTCAAACTATACTACAAGGCTACAGTAACCAGGCATGGTACTGGTACCAAAACAGATATATACACCAATGGAACAGAACAGAGGCCTCAGAAATAACACCACACATGTACAATCATCTGATCTTTGACAAACCTGACAAAAACAAGAAATGGGGAAAGGATTCCCTATTTAATAAATGGTGCTGGGAAAACCGGCTAGCCATATGCAGAAAGCTGAGACTAGATCCCTTCCTTCCACCTTATACAAAAATTAACTCAAGATGGATTAAAGACTTAAATGTTACACCTAAAACCATAAAAACTCTAGAAGAAAACCTAGGCGATACCATACAGGACATAGGCATGGGCAAAGACTTCATGACTAAAACACCAAAAGCAATGGGAACAAAAGCCAAAATAGATAAACGAGATCTAATTAAACTAAAGAGTGTCTTCACAGCAAAAGAAACTATCATCAGAGTGAACAGGCAACCTACAGAATGGGAGAAAATTTTTGCAATCTATCCATCTGACAAAACGGCTAATATCCAGAATCTACAAAGAACTTAAACACATTTACAAGAAAAAAACAAACAACCCCATCAAAAAATGGGTGAAGGATATGAACAGACACTTCTCAAAAGAAGACATTTATGCAGCCAACAAACTTATGAAAAAATGCTCATCATCACTGGTCTTTAGAGAAACGCAAATCAAAACCACAATGAGATACCATCTCATGTCAGTTAGAATGATGATCATTAAAAAGTCAGAAAACAACAGATGCTGGAGAGGATGTGGAGAAACAGGAATGCTTTTACACTGTTGGTGGGAGTGTAAATTAGTTCAACCATTGTGGAAGACAGTGGGTGATTCCTCAAGGATCTGGAACCAGAAATACCATTTGACCCAGCAATCCCATTACTGGGTATATACCCAAAGGATTATAAATCATTCTACTATAAAGACACATGCACACGTATGTTTATTGCAGCACTGTTCACAATAGCAAAGACCAACCCAAATCCCCAACAATAATAGATTGGATAAAGCAAATGTGGCACATATACACCATGGAATACTATGCAGCCATGAAAAAGGATGGGTTCATGTCCTTTGCAGGGACATGGATGAAGCTGGAAACCATCATTCTCAGCAAAGTAACACAAGAAGAGAAAACCAAACACCGCATGTTCTCACTCATAAGTGGGCGTTGAACAATGAGAATACATGGACACAGGGAGGGGAACATCACACACCAGGGCCTGTCAGTGGGTGGGGGAGGGATATGTAAATGATGCGTCGATGGGTGTAGCAAACCCACATGGCACATTTACACCTATGTAACAAACCTGCACGTTGTGCACATGTACACCAGAACTTAAAGTATACTTTTTAAAAAAAGTAAACAAGAAAAAAAAGAAGAAAGAAAAGTAACACTTTGTGTACAAAAACAAAGTAAGAGCTCAACCACAAGGGAATTTTCAAAATAAGGTTCTAAGACATACAAAGAGAGATAAAAACTCAGTTACACCATAAAAAGGTATAAAAAAGAGAGAGGAAATATCAGCTTGTTGAAAAGACCAAAGACTCAAGATTATTCACAACTCATCTTCGATCTGAAAGGGACCCTCAAGTTAGTCTGCAAAACAGTATTGGAGTACTGGTCCAAGAACCATTTGCTAGAGCTCTGCAAGTACCAAAATTGAGAATAAACAATAAGTAACTTTTATAGCATTTTGACATGGCTATGACATCCCAGCACTTGATCACATTTCTAGCAATTTGTTTTTATTGGGTTTTAGCAATGTATATTTATTTACAATATACTAGAATTTTTTTAACTGGCCTTTCACCACAAATAGTTGAGATGCTGATTAGACATCCTGCTAATCAATTTAGAAATCTCTAACTCCCTGATGGATGAAAACCTGGCTCCTACTTTAAAACCTACCTTAAAGAGAGAGTCACTTTTCACAGTACAGCTTGCCACTCGCCAATTACTTAACACTCAACTTTTTCCCAACCAAACACAATCTGGCTTCTATTTCCCCCTATTCCATGAATTCTGTTGTTGCTAAAGTTGCAGATGTCCTCAAGCCTAATGAACACATTCTAGTTCTTGTCTTCCATGACATTTCTGTGGCATGGACACATTTGGTCTCTCCTTCCTTCTTAAAATTCTCTCTGTCACTGAACTATTTTCCTCTATGTTTCCCGAAGATCTGTCCTCTATTCACTTCCATCATGGGTGATATGGAACACTGATTGCACAGTGGCTGGGAGCCCAGACCATAGAGTCAGATTGCTGGGTTTACATCCTGCCTCTTCTTTGGGTGAGTTACTAAAACTCTATTTGCATCAGTTTCCTCATCTATAAAACAAAGGTAACAAATAAAACTCCACTTCCAGTGTTGATGTGAGGGTTAAGTGAACTAATATGTAACATACTGAGAACAATATGCAGAAAATAGTAAGGACTCAATCAATTATTACTTATATATCATGTTTTTCCCAGTGTCTATACATGGAGAGGGAACATCACCTTTAGGCAATACTCCATGAACTTTGCTTCCTCTTAATTAGGTAATTAGTTCAAGATGTAAAATCCATCTCATCCCTGGGACAGGTTGGGGGGAGGGGGGACAGAATTGACATCCTTCTGTGAAGAGTTTGAAGAGGATTCACTCCTGAAGAGAAGGTTGCACCCCCAGTTCTCAGAAATGAGTCAAGGGAAAGACTCCAAGCCAGGCCAAGACTTTCTTCCTAAAGTAATTTAGACTTCATTTTAATTCACCAATAAATTATCAATAAAGAAGACACAATTATACATCACAAGGCATACCTTCAATCATGTAAAAGCAAATTCTTTTTCTCAGGTAAGAGAAAAGAACTTTGAACTGTGTAACTTTCTACTATAGCTTCCAAATATATTACTTAGAAAATGAAACCTATAAATTTAATGAGGTTACTTGAAGTATCAGAATATTAACTAAGAAGCAGTTAGAGGCTAAAGGTATCTACCACAACAGATGGTCTTGATTTTTTAATAATTGGTCTAATGCCCTTATGTTGTAATTAATTAAAAAGCAGATCCAGTTATTTTTTAATGTCACCTGTAGTTCATAATGTATGCAAGTAGCACATCCAACTGTGGTTTAAGATCATTAAATCACATTAAGTGGTTATCATTAAGTCACTAAAGATAAAAGAAGCCAGATTACATACATTTTTTAACCCTCTAGAGTTTATTAGATCAGATGAGGGACCCTTCCTCCTAGCCTAAGTCTTACCTCCATTATAGTAAGAAATAAGGGGATGAGGGTAGAGGGTGACAGGGAATAGAAGCCATTTTCTCTACGAAGGAGGCTCAAAGCATGCTAGAATAGCTGAACACCTGTTCCCAAAGCCTGCTAGTCTCTGGAGGGAGTGTGCACTGTAAAGCTCAGGCATACAGTATATCAAGTCAAAGGATGGGACATATTTTAGATGAAATATATGCCCAGATAATTTGTCTACACTTTGGAAGGAATAGAGTTATACTTAAAAAAAAAATTTAAACTACACTTTAGATCTAACCAAATACTTTTCTACATGATGCCCATATAGTAATCAAAGACAAATGAGTGAAAAAGGTGAAGATCTCCCTTTCATGCAGATCTTAAACATCTATGGAAATAGAAAATTGCCCTGGGAATTTTATTTGCCTTGATCACATTAACTAACTACAATGCACATAAACATTTCTAGGATCCAGCCAGAGAGTGATCTGAGTTTGGTTAAGTTAGAGACAATTGATCTTTGAGCAATTGTCTTTACTGACAGGATAGATGTAAAACTGACAGGATTAGATGACATTAGCTTAAGGATGTAAGAAAGAGAAAGTTATGGTTGACTCTGACATTTCTATTCAAGTGACTTTATGGAAGATGACAACTCGAATTGAGAGAGGATTTACATGAAGAAAGCTCGGCTGAGGATAATGGATGGAGAGATCAATTCAGAATGGGCTTCAATGAACTTGTAAAATATCCAGTTTTAGCAACTCTTAAATATGGGTTAGGAGCTCAGAAGAAAGAAGGAGGGTTTCAAGTAGTGTAAGTCATGAGAATAAATGGACTTTCTGAGCAGAGAAATGTAGAGATAAGAGGGCAGGGTGTGATTCCTGCCCCTTAACAGCTTACAGAGTAAGGAGATAGAGATCAACACAGAAACAACTGCATGACATAAAGCAGTATTGAATCCGTATAGAGAGAATTATATACAAAGCAAGAAAGACTCAAGATCTCATTTTGAAATTTAAAACTACAAACCTCAAATGAGGACTTAATGTTGTTACACTCTAATATGTTGATCTTACCACTTTCTAACACAATTATTTAACATTTTCTCTCTTCTCTTTAAAACTTCTAGCCATCTTGTCTTTCTTTCTTCACCGTTCACTCCCACTGTTAACTGGTGACTAATACTTACATCCATGGAGAAGATATAATCAATAGATAGGATTACATACTATCAAAATCTACATTCAACTGTGCCCAAACCCTCTGCCTTCCCTAATGACATAATGGGTAGTGTGTTCTGCTCCCATCAAGGGCCACATCTGCAACTTCCAAACTCTTAACTTCATCAAATTCTCAAAGATTTTGATCCTAATTATCCCTGACACTCTCATTTACCAACAATTTACTAGTTTATTCTTATTAACATTGGAGCATAAATTGGTATCTCTCATCTTAAAGACACACACACAAAAAAAACCTCTTACCCTCAAAGTCTCAAAGACAATTAAAAAAATCACCAGGAAAAAATAGTATTTCTACAATGAAAAGTAAAATTGTAACATTTCACACCACACTCACCCTGCCATGGACACCACTGGTGCTTACACACCCAGCCCAGTGGTCTAAAGATTGACCTTCCCAGCCTACCGCCCTCACTGCCAGTGCCTATGTGCCCTGCCAGGAGTGCAAAGACTGGCCGCCCAGGAAAAACCACTGCCTGCAATGGCCCCCATGTGCTACCTCAGGGCCTGAGGACTGGACTGCCTGGCATCACCATTTCCAGCAAAGCTTCACCACAGTGTCCACAAATAACCACAGCCTAAGCCACCAAGGAACTCACAGACACCACTGATGTTGATTACAGATGAAGTAATCATATGGAGACTATAATACTCTCTGGTGCCCACCCAGAACCAAAGCCAAAGTACCCTATTCAACTCACTTTATAGATATATCTACAGAAAAAAGTCTTTCCCTATGGAAGCTACTTAATAAAATTGGAAGAAGTGATGGTTACACCAGATGAGCAGATATCAATGTAAGGACACAAGAAACATGAAAAAGCAAAGAAATACACCTCAAAAGGAGTGCAATAAATCTACAGTAGCAGACCCCAAAGAAAAGAAATTTTGTGAAATGTTTGAAAAAGAATTCAAAATATTGACCTTAAAGAAATTTAGAACAAAAGAACACAGATAAACAATACAAAGAAATAAAAAAAACTTCATGATTTAGATGAGAAATCGAACAAAGATAGATATCATAAGAAATTAATCAAAGAGAAATCCTGGAACTGAAGAATTCAATGAATGCAATAAAAAATACAATCAAGACATTCAACAATAGACTAAGTAAAATAGGAGAAATAATTCCTAAACTTGAAGACAGGTCTTTAGAAATGAAATAGTCAGACAATAATAATAAAAAGAATAAAAACAAATGAAGAAAGCTTACATCATATATAGGATACCATCAAGTGAACAAATATTCAATTTTGGGAGTTCAAAAGAAAAGAAAAAGTCATAGAAAACCTATTCAGTAAAATAATAACTGAAAAGTTCCCAAATATTGGAAGAGATATACATATAGATACAGGAAGCTCAAATGTCCCCAGATAGATTCAACCCAAAAAGGCCCTCTCCAAGGCACATTATCATCAAACTGTCAAAAGTCTAAGACAAAGAGAGAGTTTTAAAAACACCAAAAGTATCAAGTCACATATAAAGGAATTTCTGTCAGACTAACAGCTGATTTCTCCACAGAAATCCTATAAACCAGGAGAGAATTAGATGATATATTCAAAGTGCTGAGGGGTTGGGGGGAAGAACTGTTAGGCAAGAATACTATACCCATCAAAGTTATTGTTCAAAAATGATGGAGAAATAGTCTTTCCCAGACAAACAAAGACTGAGGAAATACATCACCATGAGACCAGTCCTACATGAACTGCTTAAGAGATTTTTACATCTGGCAGCCAAAAGACAATATCCACCATCATAAAAAATACACTAAAATATAAAACTTACTGAAACAACAGACACACAAAGGAGAAGGTGAAAGGAATCAAATGGTATCATTATAGAAAGCTGCCAAATTTTATTATCAAAGATAAGCAATAAGAAAGAAAAAAAGGAACAAATATAGAAAACAATAAGAAAACAACAAAATGACAGAAATAAGTCCTTACCTATCGAAAGAACTCAGAATGTAACCAGTTTAAATTTCCCAATTAAAAGATATAGACTGACTGAATGGATAATAAAACAAGACCCAACTATATGCTGGCTACAAGAAACACATTTTACCCATTAAGGACACACATGACTGAGAGTTAAGAGATGTAAAAAGATATTTCCTACAAAACAGAACCCAAAACAAGGAGTTATATCAAACAAAACAGACTTCAAGTCAAAAAACATAAGAAGAGACTAACAATGTCATTATATAATGATAAAGAGATCAGTTAAGCAAGAAATATAACAATTGTAAATATATATGCATCAAACACTTGAACACCCAGATATATAAAGCAATTATTATAGGTAAAGAGAGAGAGCTAGACTCATTAATAATAAAACAATATTTGGGGACTTCAACACCTCACTCAGCATTGGACAGATTATCTAGACAGAAAATCAACAAAGAGACAGCAGATTTAAACTGCACTACAGACCAAATGAATCTTGCAGACATTTACAGTACATTTCATCCAACAGCTGCAGAATACTCATTCTTTTTTTTTTTTTTTTGATGGAGTCTCACTCTATCACCAGGCCAGAGTGCAGTGACACAATCTCAGCTCACTGCAACCTCCGCCTCCCAGGTTCAAGTGATTCTCCTGCCTCAGCCTCCTGAGTAGCTGGGACTACAGGTATGCACCACCACACACAGCTAATTTTTGTATTTTTAGTAGAGGCAGGGTTTCACCATATTGGCCAGGATGATCTTGATCTCTTGACCTCGTGATCTGCCCACCTTGGCCTCCCAAAGTGCTGGGATTATAGGCATAAGCCACCGCGCGTGGCCAGAATACCCATTCTTATCAGTACATGGAATATTCTCCAGGATAGGCCACATATTAAAACACAAAACAAGTCTCAACAAATAATAAAAATCAAAATCATATCAAGTATCTTCTCAGACCACAAGGGAATAAAACATCAACAACAAGAGAAGCTTTGGAAATTAAATAAGCAAATGAAAATTAAATAATATGCTCCTGAACAACCATTGGGTCAATAAAGAAATTCAGAAGGAAATAAAAACAATTCTTGAAACAAATGAAAATGGAAACACAACATACCAAAACCTATGACATGCAGCAAACCTAAGAGGGACATTTATAGAGTTGAATGCCTACATCAAAAAAGTAGAATGATTTCAAATAAACAATGTAATAATGCACCTCATAAAACTAGAAAAGCAAGAACTAGCCAAGCCCAAAATTAGTAAAAAAAAAAAAAAAAAAAAAAAAGAGAGAAAGAAAAAGAAAATAATAAATATCAGAGCAGAAATAAAGACTTAAAAAATACAAAACATCAATAAAATGAAGTTATATTTTTGTAAAGATAAACAAAACTGATAGCTAGACTAACTAAAAAATGAGAGAAAAGACCCAAATAAACAAAACTGAGAAAACTTGGTATCCATTTGCAGAAGAAAGAAACTAGACCCCTGTCTCTCCTTATGTACAAAAATCAAATCAAAATGGATTAGACTTAACTGTAAAACCTGAAATTATAAAACTACTAGAAGAAAACATTGTGGAGATGGTTCAAGACATTGATTTATATGGCACAGATTTTTCGAGAGTTAAAACCACAAAAGCACAGGCAACAAAAGCAAAAACAGACAAGTGGGTTTATATCAAGCTGAAAAAGCTTCTGCATAGGAATGGCAATAATCAACAGGGTGTAGAGAAAACCTACAGAATAGGATAAAGTATTTGCAAATTATTCATCCAATGAGGAATTAATAACCAGAATATATAAAGAACTCAAACAACAGCAACAAAAAAGATCTCATTCCCATTAAAAAGTGGGCAATGATCTGAAAAGACATAACAGACGGCCAACAGATCTATAAAAAAATGTTGAACATCACTAACCATCAGAGAAGTACAAATCAAAACCACAATAAGGTATTATCTCACCTCAGTTAAAATGGCTATTGTTCCAGAAAAAAAAAATGGCTATTGCAAACAAAGAAAAACACACACAAAAAAAACGTCTGGCAAGAATACAGAGAATCGGAGCTTTAGTACACTAACGGTGAGAATGTAAATTAGTAGAGCTACTATGGAAAACTGTATGAAGGTTCCTCAAAACAATAGAACTATCATATGATCCAGCAATTCCATTGCTGGGTATATATCCATAACAAAGGAAATCAGTATATTGAAGAAATATTTGCACTCCCAGGTTTGCCCAGAACTATTCACAATAGCCAAGATATGGAATCACCCTAAGTGTCCATCAGCAGGTGAATAGATAAAGAAAATGTGTTGCATATATGCAATGGAATACTATTGTGTCATTAAAAAGAATAAAATCCTATTATTTGCAGCAACATGGGTGAGCATAGAGGACATTATGTTAAGTGAAATAAGCCAGGTACAGAAAGACAACACATGTTCTTGCTCATATTTGGAGGCTTAAAAAAAACAACTTTGTCTCATAAACAGAGAGAGTAGAATGATGGTTACAATTGGCTGGGAGGGGTGGGCGAGGGGATGAAGACAGGTTGGCTAATGGGAACAAAAATACAGTTATATGGAAGAAATAAGTTCTAGTATTTGATAGCACAGCAGAGTGACTATAGTTATAACTTATTGTATATTTCAAAATGGCTAGACGATTTGAAATATTCTCATCATAAAGAAACGATAAATGTTTGAGGTGATGCATATTCCAATTACTTTGATTTCATCATTACACATTGTATGCACATATCAAAATATCATGTGCCCCATAAATATGTACAATTAGTATGTATCAATAAAAAATATAACATTTTGAAATAAAATGATTTTGAAAAAAATTCATTTAAAAAAATCTATTTTAGAAAAAAATTTTTAAGGAAGCAATTGCCATCAAGAAAAAATGAATCAGAAATACAGGAACCCAGAAAAGAGGTGACCAGGAAAAAATGGCATGGAAATAGGATAGAACTAGAAAAATAAAATAAAAAGGAAATCTAACTTATGAGGTCCACAGGGATAACAGGTATCTCAGGAAACAGTATAAAGATTTAGGAAAAATACAAAAGAAAGACAAAGAAAATGAAACAGACATTAAGAAATAAAAAAATTAAGAATAAATCAAAATTAAGGAATATACAACATCTATATAATTGGTATCCCCAGTGAAGAAAATCAGAACAATGAAACAGAAAAAAAAATGTTAACTGAATTCAACAACACTTATCTGAAATCTATGTACTGAAAACATATACTGTGTACTTGATAAATTTAACCTGCAGTGGTCAACTCTAAGGAATACCTTGGTAAAACTTTTCCCTTAAAAAAAAATGTGGTTATCTTGACAAAAAAGAGCAAGTTGCTTTTAAGAAAAAGAAAATCCGTTTTGCATCATGCTTCTTGACACCAACATATACCACCAGAAAAGAAAGCAGCACTTACAAGACACTCAAGGAAAGAAAAATGAGTCAAGGAGCCATGCTGTCTTAAGGTATAAAATAGGCTACAGGCAAACAGCTATCAACATGCAAAACTCCAAGGAATATTGTTCTCAGGAGCCCCTCCTTAGAACTCTACCAGAGGACTAATTTCAGACAACCAAGAAATTATTGTGGGGAAGGGGAGTTTGGCAAATAGTCTGGTGATGAGAACTGAATATATTTAACTGAAGAACTAAGACTAAAATGTGCAATAAGGGTAACAAAATAATACATAAATATTAAATCTTGGTCAGGCAGTGTAGAAATAATAAAACTTACAACAAAATGGGAGAATTAATTTATGTGTTGCCCAAGTGAACCCACAGTAACTATTCTTTTGGATTTCCCCAAGTGTCAGCACTTGCCTTGCAATATCTATTGTCACCAGCTTCTAGCCTGGAATCCTCTGTTCTTTCCCCTACTTAGACTTCCTTCAAGACCATCCCTATGATGTGATTATCTAACTCACCTTAATTCATACCAATTTTTATACCCAAGAGACTGTGGAAACCAAGTTTATGTGACAAGCTGACATAATAAGCTCAAGCATATTTAAGAATATGAGGATAAACTTTTTTTAAAAAATTACTAAAATTGAATAATGAATGAGAGAGAGGAGGAGTTTACAGGGTAATTTTATTGTTGTTCATAGTAGAGAAACTAAACTAAGAGTATTAATGTTATTTTTATAAAGATAATCACTACAACAAAACTATAAACCTTCCTAAATATTACAAAAACTGAAAAAAAGCCAAAAAATAAAAAACCAGGGAGTTAAATACTTTCAAAATACCTTTAACATAAACACACTTGCATTACATAAAATAACAGAACTAAGATCAAATGTATTGATCATGCCAAAATTAAATGGGCTTAACTTGCCTATTAAAAGAAAAATATTTTCAAATTAGCTCTCAAAGTAAAATCCGATTCTATACAGTATAAAAGAGACATACCAAAAACAAAGGATTTTAAAAGTTGAAAATAAAAGGAAAAGCAAAGGAATACCAGGCAAAGCAAATCAGAAGGTCTCAGAGGTCATGATCCTCATATCACACAAAGGAGAATTTGTTCCACAGAGTATTAAAAGAAACAAAGGAGGAAATCTGTAGTGCTGAAGGCTATAATTCATAATGCATATATATTAGGTATAAATATCTATACATGAAATAATGTAGCAGCAATTTTCACAAAGCAGGCATTACAAGAGATGCAAAGAGAAATATATAGGAACCCTCAAATAACAGGATACTTGAATAAATCTCTCAGTCCAAGATAAACCAAGTGAAAAAAAAGTATGAATGTAAACTAATTAATAACATAGACTTCCTAAATGTAGACTTAAATCCACATCCTGATAGTAGATACCCTTTCTTAGGAATGACCCTGACATATTCAAAACAATGTTTTTATATTAGACTTCATTAAAACTCAATAAATTCCAGAATGTAGAAAATATAAATGTCCTTCCATCTGGTTAAATGCTCTGTTAATTTATTCTTTAGTCAAATGGGAAATAGAAATTACAGGTGGAAAATCTGGGGAAAACATTAATAAAACCATTTCAGTATATACTTAACACTACTGAAATGTACACTTAAAAATGGTTGAGATGGTAAAGTTTATGTTATGTGTATTTCACCAGAGCTAAACAAGCAAACATTACAGAGCCAAATGTGTGGAATGCTGCCAAAACAGTACTTGGGTAAAAGGCATACTTTTAATAACTTATTACAATATAAATGAAAGGGTGAAAATAAATTAATTAAGCTTCCAACTCAAAAAGATAAAGAATAACAAGATAAATTGAAGGGAAGCAGAAAAAAGAGTGACTATAAATAAAAAGGAAAAATTTAAAAATTAAGAGTTTGAATCATGTAAATGCATTATGATTCAAATGAAATAAATTCAAAAAATAGAAAATATCATCATCTAATGACCCAACATTTTTGTTTCAGACATTATGAATTGAAGTCCAAAGAGATTAAGGTGTCACACAAAACCAGAACTAAAATCCAAGTCTTCTTATTCCCAGTCCAGTGGTCCCATGGCAGAAATTTGGAAAAAGTATAAATTAAGGTGAGTTAGATAATCATAAGGAGGGTCTTGAAGGAAGTCTAAGTGGGGGAAAGAACAGAGGATTCAAGGCTGGAAGTTAGTGACAATAGATATCACAAGGCAAGTCCTCACACTTGGGGAAGTCCAAAAGGATGTTTACTGGATGCTCACTTCGGCAACATATACACTAAAACTGGAACAACACACAGAGGGTTGGCAAGCCCCCTGTGCAAGGATGACATGCAAATTCATGAAGCATTTCATATTTTTCAGGGAAAGAAGGATAAAATATCAAGGAGCATGAGAAAACTTTTGGTGCTGATAGATATGTTTATTACCTTTATTGTAGTGATGATTTTGCAGGGGTACACATATGTCAAGACATCAAATCGTACATTTTAAATATGTGCGATTTGTTGTATGTCAATTATGTCTCAATAAGATTCTAGCAAGACATTTATTATGATAAAATATGAAAGAAAAAAATGTTTACAAGTGTTAATGAGGAGAATAAATCCATAGAGGCATAAATATTTAATGGATAAATTATAAACATTCTTATGAAAGATAACATTTTAAATAAAAGAGCTAATAGCCAATGCATTATTAGCCTGAGATTGTATGAATTATACTTTGAAGCTATATATAATAAAGAAAGCATTCCAGGTCAAAAAGAAAGCGTTAAGTAAAACTCACATTACCTGGGAAAACTGCCTGTGGTGAAAGTAGATATTTCCTGCATTAAAGTAAGCCAGCGAGTACTTGGGGTTTAGAGTAATTGCATCTTGGTAGTCTTTCATTGCATTCTGTTTGTGGCCCATAAACTCATGAATCACCCCACGATTTGTTAAGAATTCTGCTGTAGTACTGATCTGCAGTATAATATTATGATTATTTAACATTGGGGAATAGTATTTACCTCTGATGTCATGTCTGCCAAAATGAACATTAGGGAATCTACTTGTGGGAAATGAGTAATTTTATAGTGCATGTAAAACTCCAGTAGAACAAATATTTTGAGAAAGGAGTTGGTATGAAGTTGGTTTAGTGTCAACACTTTGTTGATTTGGTTGCAATAAAACAAATAATCTTAGTGTTTTTTCACTCAGTTCCTTTCCAAGGAATAGACAAAGTGGAAAAGCTTATCTGTTTAGCTGTTAAGCTAGAGAATAAATTAAATTGAATAGTTAACAGGCTTATTTGTCCTATGTAGTAGCAATTATCTTTCAGTTCTTTCCTTTTTCTCATCTCAAACACTACAACATCTGCCCAAATCTACAGAATCAAAACCCAAAAGCTAGAAGTAAAGAAGAGTTTCTGTCACTGCATTCAACATGAGATTTTTACTTGTCATTTCACTACAGGAAGATTCTGGGGATTTACATTGTTCTCTCTTTAGTTCCTTCAAACCTAGAACATTATTTTATGTTATGCATTCACTTTGTATTACAAAATAATATTGATGTCCCATGAAAGTATAAAGCGTATTTACTGAAAGTGATCAACATTTATCAGAACTTTGGGGTTTTAGTGCATTTCAGTTATAAAATTGGCAAGCCATAACTCTTTACCCTAGGGATCACTTGGGTTAAAAAAAAATACAAAACATTATTTTCTCCATAAGTCACTTTAAAAAGCTAACAGAGAACTTCTTACTTGCACCTATTCATTGACAGTGTTAATTTATGCTAATAATAATATAATCTAAGATGGTTTTTACCTTCATGGCAGCATTAATATCCTGCATTGCAGCAAAATTATTACCCATCTGAAGACAGACCACAGCTCTTCCTTCATAGGCTAGGTAGTTCTTTGGATCAGTATCTATGGCAATGGTAAAGTGGTTCCAAGCTTTCTGGAATTTTCCTTGGGCCTAAAATAATTTTCCAATTACACGAAGTAGGAAATACTCCATAACATGACAAACGTTTATGATTCTGACTCCATCAAATAAAACCTTTAGTAAGGGTATATTTATGCCATGCTAAATCTAAGTTCTTTCAAACCAGAAAGTAGGCATACTGAATGCATACTGTGGCTGCATTCAGTTGCCTAATTACCTCTGAGTATTTATGATGAAATTTTAATTAATTAAAATAAATTTAACTTCCGAGTCATCTCCTGTACCAATCCCGGACAACATAAAATCATAGCCACCATGTGAAACGCCAGTGGTTTTTACCAACACAGAAAAATGCGCATTGAGCTGCACACACATAAGGAGGGATTGTATTTATTTGGTTCGCACTGAATCTCCAGTTATAGATAATATATACATAATATACATAATAACATAAATATGTATTGAATAATAAATTAATAAACTAATGGTGTAAACATATTCTGATAAATCACGCCAGCATCTGGAGTTTTAGTATCACTATACGTATTCCATGGAAAATACATGCAAATCTACCAAGCTTCTGTTTATACCAACTGGAAAAGAAAGAAAAAGGTCAGGAGAGGGGCATTGTTAACAGAACGATGTCAGAGTGCTTCCTAGAGAAGACCAGCTGGCAACTAAATGCCTCCACAGAAAGGCAGTGAGTTAATAAATTCAGTACAGTCTGGAGTCTGTCTTTTTTTCTGATGGGCTAAAAAAACCCATCTTGCCAGATCTCGGAAGCTGACTCACTTTAACCAAGCTGAGCCTAGGGACTCTCATATAAAAGTAAAAAGAAATACAACTGTTAAGGGAACAAGACCCTGTTTCCTGACCATCAAATCTTCTCTCTCTGGGTAAACCATTTGTAAATCCACACTGTCAACACAAGCTCATTTAATAAACAAGGAATCAGGCAAATTGAGATTAGATTATTAGGATATTAAATAGCAAACTGCCTCACAGTAAGATCTCTGTCATCTGCTCCAGACCACATCTGTTGTGCTCATTTCTATATTTCTAGTGCTAGGCAAATAGTAAGGGAATCTGTAAGTATTTGTTGAACAAACTGTTGCTCTTTCCCTGGACAGAACTCAGATGGGCCTAACTCTCCTTTTGCAGTCCTCCTTCCTGACTCAATTCTTTACACTCCTGTGCTTTTCAATTCTTTTTCAGGTTGCTATACACCCAGTGAGATCTTCATAAAATGCAAATTTGATGTCACTTCTCCTATTAATGCAATTCACATTTTTAACTGGACCATAAGGCCTTTAACTCCAGCCTCATCTCATGCCCTGCTCCCTTTGCCCATAACATTCCATTCACTTGGGCCCTCTTGTCTCTTTCTTACAAGACTTTCTGATGGGCTGGTTCCACTTTACGGAACACTGTATCCTAGCCACGGCCCCTGCTTTCACATCTCAACATTGTTAATTTCTCAAAAAACTTTCTCTCACCTCTCAAACAAAGCTAGGTTATTTTTCTACAAGTTATACTAAAACTCATCCTTTTCCTTTGTTGCACTTATCATGATTATAATCAATTATTCATATGATTAATTGTTTGATGCCTATCTCTCCACTGGGTAGTAAACTCTGCAAGAAGAAGGAAGTATAATCTTGTTCATTGCTATATCCCTAGGCCTAGAGCAGTTTCCGTTCTACATTTAGTGCTCAGTTAATGTCTGTTGAATGCAATGAATGATGATGATCTTAACACATTTCACTGGATTGCAGTCAGCTCTAGCTGCCTTGGAAATCCCTCTCTTTAAATGGACTTTGCAAATTTCTACTGTGATCCAGTAATGGCTAATTTTCTTCCCTTTAGCTTTTCACTAATGCAACAGGACAAAACCTGTGGGGCCTAGGTATATAAGCTAGTAAAATAAATGTTACCCAGGTTCTTATAGATGAACTTCATCAGGCAAATTTTAAAAGTTGTTTGTAAGTGAGGAGGAAGGTAGGGAGGGGTGCAGACATAAAGGAAGCTCAGGTTCAAAAGACTTTCATCTAACCAGCCTACCAGCTCCCCAGGCTGATCCAGATCCAGGCAGCCTCTCTATAACTAACTAAACCCCTGCTCCCACTGCTACTCTGGAACCTAAAAGTAAAGAAAAGGTAAATGTTCATAACCAAAGAAATAACATATACTCCCATTGCCAGGAAAGAGCCAAATATATTCTTTCTCCCCAAAACATGCTTTTAATGCTCAAAATGTTGCTATATTACCTGCAAATTATAGCCAAAACTAATTCTGGCTTTTATGTATGCTGGATTAATATGCAGTGCTTTCAGAAAGTCTTTCTGTGCTTGCTTGGTGGCTTCATCATGACCGTATTCCATGTAAGAATTTCCCCGTCCAACATAAGCATCCAGAAAACATGGGTTAATTTTAAGAGCCCAAGTAAAGAAATTGACAGCTTCTTCAAACTCATTAATTCTGCAAATAAATAAAAATATTGATGCCTTCTGGTGAACTGATGCATTCTGGTGACATATACAATGTTTTCCTATAACTGACTTTTCCATAAAGATTTGAATTGACTCATTAAAAAATCTCCATTTCTATTACCCATTGTAGGAGGTAGGCACATAAGTCCATATGACTAAGGAAGTGTGACAGGTCCTTCGAAGATTTTGGTAAAAGGAAAGATGGCAAGAAAGGGTCATTTTCATAGCAGAATGTGATGGGATGATATTCTGGATCTTTCTCAAGTTATTAAAGTCCACATGGCATTCTTAAATCTGTTTTTAACAGGTATCAATTACCAGTATAGAAAAACATATGCTACTATTGATGAAATGTACTTTCAAAATTAAATTAAACTTATTTATATGTATTTAATATTTCCTTATACAATGAAAACAGCCAGATTTTCATCACATGGGAGTCCTTACATCAGATCTCCTATAAAGGCAGGCCATTTCACTGTGGACACCAGGAGAGGAGGGGAGAGAAAAAAGTAAAATGCATTTTATTTATCAACTTGTGAATGTATTTGGCTAAATGATAACTCTCTCTATCCTCCCTAATTACTCTCTTGTGGTGGAGGTTAAGGCTGCTAAAGGCATCAAATGTTTGTTCATGGGCATATAAAGTCACTTCTCCATTTCATATGCATATCTAATAATAATATTTAGTTTCAATTAACATGGAGAGAGTCTAGGATTTTTGAAAATGGAATGGAATAAGGATACTAGCAACTAGCAGTGTTTACTTACCAGGTACTGTGCTAAATACTTAACATATGGTATTTCCTTTAATACTTCCAACAATTCTGTAAGCTAGTTATAATTATCTACATTTTACACATGAAAGGAAAATTATGGCACAGAAAAGTCTGCACACAGGTAATGGCACAGTAACTACCATACTATGCTTGCACAGAGAAAATATCTGAGATTCATGTAAGCCTTACTCCAAAATCCATGCTTTTCCACACAGCCACCTCTACCACACATTCTACACCTATTATATACCTGTGGTTGGTGCACAAGAAACAGTGAGCTGGTATCTCAACAAGGTAGCCAGAAGAAAGTCTTGGAGTTTAGATTTGAGCCTGAACATGCAAATTAATATTAATTTTTCAAGGTTGTTATGAGGCTCAGATAAGAACATGTGAAGAACACCTAGCACAGAAACCTTCACCCAATAAAGATTATATCTTCCTTCCATTCTCTTCATTACTTCTCAAACAGGTTTCAAATTTTAGTAAGATGTATCACTACTTTGCCCATTTTTCCTTTATAAAATACATGGAGCCCAGGATAAACTGTTCCAGAAATTATCATCTTCTAGAGGTTACTCAAGAGTATCTCTTAAACCAGTGATTCCCAAACTACCCCTTCCTTCATGAAAGTTGCCCCAGGTTCCACCTACACTATCATTTACTAAATATTTTCTTTTAAGTCAACTTACTTTTTTTACTTAACTATATTTATTTTTAAAAGCAAATTAATTTAAATACCATAAGTTGAAAAATTATCTCATGCCATAAATAAAATAATAAGCTAAAATGATAAGCTTGGAGCTGGATACTTTATTCTGCAGAACACAGCCTGAGTGCTGCACCATTGATTACAAACAAAGTTTTTAAAGACTAGCTCTGGCCGGGCACGGTGGCTCACGCCTGTAATCACAGCACTTTGGGAGGCTGAGGTGGGTGGATCACGAGGTCAGGAGTTCCAGACCAGCCTGGCCAACATGGTGACACCCCGTCTCTACTGAAAATACAAAAATTAGCAAAGCGTGGTGGCAGGCCCCTGTAGTCCCAGCTACTCGGGAGGCTAAGACAGGAGAATCGCTTGAAACTGGAAGGCGGAGGTTGCAGTGAGCTGAGATCATGCCACTGCACTCCAGCCTGGGCAACAAAAGCGAAACTCCATCTCAAAAAAAAAAAAAAAAAAAAAAAAAGACTAGCTCTTAGCTGAGACATTCTCCTTGATGTGTTCAGAAGGTTTGAGAAAGAATTCATTTTGAAACTGAAAGGCAATTCAGTTTCTCACAATGTGATACGGTATTTTTTTAATGCTTGTCCAGGCCATGAAAAATAACAGGTACATGCAATACTTGCTCCATGTTTTCCCAAATGTGGTGCAACAGGTGTTCTTCTAGAAGATCACACAACAATCCACAGTGAAGCATTAAGAAGGCTTGCTTCTGATGTTACAAGCAAGCAAAGGTTAACATCCACATATGGGAATCAGATGCTGCCTTTTGAGTTACTCAGACAACACAAGGTCACTTTCCTCAAGTAGTATACAATGAAATTGTGCTCTCTTTCCTGATAATTGGCACTATTTAAGAAGTAAAAGTCAGGCCGGGCACAGTAGCTCATGTCTGTCATCCCAGCACTTTGGGAGGCCAGGACAGGTGGATCACCTGAGGTCAGGAGTTCAAGACCAGCTTGCCCAACATGGTGAAACCCCTTCTCTACTAAAAGTACAAAAAACTAGCCAGGCATGGTAGTATGCACCTGTAGTCCCAGCTACTTAGGAGGCTGAGTCATGAGAATTGCTTGAACCCAGGAGGCAAAGGTTGCAGTGAGCCAAGATCATGCCATTGTACTCCAGCCTGGGCAACAGAGTAAGACTCCATCTCAAAAAAAAAAGAAAGGAAAAAAGAAAGAAGAAGGAAGAAGAAGAAGAAGAAGAAGAAGAAGAGGAAGAAGAAGAAGAAGAGCAAGAGGAAGAGGAACAGGATGAAGAGGAAGAAGAGGAGGAGGAGGAGAAGGAGGAGGAGAAGAAGGAGGAGGAGAAGAAGGAGGAGAAGGAGGAGGAGAAGGAGGAGAAGGAGGAGAAGGAGGAGGAGAAGGAGGAAGAAGAAGAAGACCACTTTGCCTTTCCAAGTGCCTTCTCACTATAGTATAACAATAATTCCTTATCAGGAATCATAGTCATTCTGTGTAAAATGCATTTAGTTGACAGGTTTTGTTGTGTTTAGTATTTCTATCTGTGGGTAGTGAAGCATTTACTTATGATGCATACCTATGGTGACCAGGTCAATGGACATTTCCAGGGAAATCCCCTTCTCTTATATTCTCCACCAAATTCATTGAAATGCCCCTAGTAATATTGACATCCAAATTGCATCATACACCCTGGCCCCTCTTACCCAGTGAAATTAAAAATCCTTTGTGAGTACATATTCTAATATATGGTTTATGAAATACAATCTTGCCTTCTGTATAGCCTAACCAATTAGAAAAATGAGGCAGCGAACTGAAGCTCACCACGTCATATAAGTTGTGAATTACCAAATGGCAGTGATTGAAGCTATTTTTCTGTACCCATCAAGTTATCAGCACTAATGTTTAATGAGCAGCTAGTCTGTTCAGACCCAGTAAATGTTCACTAAATCTTAAAGCTGAAAAGAGATCTTGAAAGACAGCTAGCAAGCTCCTCAAAGCCGATAGTGACTAAAATCAAGTCCAGGGAGGTGAAAGTGCTGAAAATCAGAGGCTTCCCAGCCTCCTGCACCAATAGACCAGGAAGAAAAAAAATGAGCAGATGCCACTGTAGAAACAGTAATTTCATCTCTGAATATATGTCTGTCACAGTGTCCTACAGGTTGAAGTCCTTGTTAAGTAACTGCATGACAGTTAGCCAATGGGAAAATGTGGCAGAATATCTACGTTCTTGTCAGGTTACACGTTCAATGAGATATAAATTGTTAAGCATCAGTTACCACAAGTGTAAAAGTATGTTAAATGAGTTTTTCTAAAATAAAATGTGTTCGCATAAATCTAGAGCAATATGATAACTTACTGGAGGTGCATGATTCTACTTACGACGTTCTGTGAACAAGGGATCATGTGCTGAGCTTGTCCACTAGGCCACAGACACAAAGGCCCACTGCATTTTCCAAATTAATCACATACGTGACCAGATGTGCCCTACTGAGTTGTACAAATAAATCACAAATCCCCTCCCAAACTAAAGAATCTGGCTTGAAGAGTTAAAGACTCAAAAATATTTTATGCCCCAATATGTAAGAATAGTAAAATAAATGTGCTGAAGTAAAAAGTAGATAGGATATATAACTCTGAGTAATCTCCCTCTATGATATTATTTTTTGAAATATGAAAGTGGCATTCTCAGTTCTAAAAATTAATTCTACCATAACACTCGTGGTGACTAAATTGGGCAACAAGTAGGATATTCAAGCCTAAGGAATGTTGTCTCCTAGCAACCACAAGAGTGAGAACCAGAGATATACAAAGGATACTTCAAAAGTCTGCAACCCCACGAGATCAAAGATCAAAGCCTTAAAATTTAAAAATTTATTTATTTAAAGAATTTTTCCTAATGAGAAAATGTTTACTTTCCCTACTGTAAGACACATCAGGAATGAATCCCCATAGTTACAGTCCATGCATCTGTGGTATAAGGTTGTTATAGCTCACCTAGAAAAGCAAAAAATATTTTTCCTGAAATAAATATAACCAATCACTAAACACTCCATATTGTGAAATTCAGCAAAACTTAGAACTCGAAACACGTGGAACTGGGACTCTGAGTTTTCAGAGGTTTACAGCTGATTTAAATTCTACTTTTATTAAAGAACAATAGAGATTCTAGTTGGGTTATGAAAATTGGTTATTTGGAATTGCAAAGCAGTATCAGCTTAAGGAGGCTCTCCTGTATATACCCAGTGATTACATTTCATAAAAGAGATTGTGAACTGACATACAGAGAAATTTACTGGCTCTAATGGTTGCTAAACATAGGAGTGAGGTAGAGAGTAGTTTTGGAGCCTGTTTTTAGTTTTAACAGAATGCAACAAGCTCGGACACTTTTGGTCTTCACCCACCCACCAAAACAAATACATCAGTCATCGTTATTCCATCTCTTAAGAATGACAATTACTTAAAGAGATAGATTGTACAAAGGTTGCTGGATTAAAATAGACAATGGTAAGACCGGGTTTTGCTGTCTGTACAAAATGAAAGGTCTGAGACCAGTTTAAGCCTTTTAACACAAAGACACCTTCAGAAGTTCCAGTTATGGTATTACTCTGCTCATAAAATTAAAAAAAAAACTTTCATAGGAGAATGTAGCTGTACTATATATGTCCTCAAAGAGAAAAGGATGTCAATTTCCTAAATAATTCAAACTATGTTTCACTCTCTAAACTGGGTATTTATACAGCCCAGTCTACATAATTTGGAACTATTCTAACTTAATCCTCCAAATTAACTGGTATTATTTGTTTCTTAGGGGAAAAAAAGCTATAAACTATTATTTAACCAAATACATTTCATCACAAATTAAAATCCTCGCAGGCTGAATCTCAATAATTTTAAAAGCAAAATTACCAAAAGTTAATTTTATGATGTAAAATATATATGTAGAAACATAAACATTATGGCTAACAAAGTCTATATACTATAATATTATTTCAGAGTATATTTTAAGCTGATTATCTTCTATATTTTAACCTTATGTAAGTGTTTTCATCTCTTCTTCTATAACTTATTTTTATAATAAACCCAGGAAGAAGTGATTTTGCTTTACGTATTGTGTTTTTTATAGATATTTCCTGGTGTTTTTTACTTAGTATTATATTTAGTTACGTTTTTAAATGCAAAATTATCTTAAAAATGCATAATTTTTAAAAATCACCCTTTCTTCCAGGAAAGAGACTTTATAATAGTCCCACTTTATGAACAAAATAAATTATTTTATGCTTAGATATTTCGAGCTATGCATAATTTTATTCTACATATTGCCACGATCCTTTCCCAGCACCTATGCTTGGATCAGGTGAACTCTGCCCAATGCCATGATGGAAGCATTTGCCTGCTAATTTGTGTAAAACAGTCTATTAGAAGGCAGAAGGGTGCTGAGGAACACTAAGTGTGGTCCCCGTGTCTACACAGGGAACTCTTTGTGTCCCTCCCCATTTTTGTACTCTATAACATTCACAATTTCTCCCAGTTTCTTCCATTCTCTCCTGGCTTGTTTATGGGGTGATAATTAGATAAGTCTGATGGTCCTGCTTGATTCCACTTTGACATCAATTGCACTCCATACCTGTGATGGCACATGGCAGTGGCGTGACAAAGGCTCCCGTTAGTCCGGCTTATCAGTGCAGCTTGTTTAAAATCCTGAAATAATGTTATAAGCTTTTGTTAATTTTGCAACATTATTTTATGTGCTATCTTAAACTTCCTTCTAACTGTGATTCCACAATGACACAAGCATTAAGATATACATCTTCCTAAATACATGTGACACAAGCATTAAAATACACATCTTTCTAAAACTTTATATTTTCCTTGTAGTATCACATCAAATAAGAACAGATGAAACAAAGGAAACCTATTATTGTAGACTCACTCAGAATCTTGTACTACTGGTCTCTACTCAAGAATGGGGATTTTTTCCTATGGTTTTGACCTGCAATGGGTAATGAGGTATCTATCTCATTTACTTTCTTTCTATTGTTTATTCCCAGTGAACTCCTCTGGAGACTTCTCTATCTAGACAGAAAAGGAAATGTACCGGGAGAGAACCTTTGATGTTATGTGACTATAGGACAAGCAGGCATCCAGGTTGGGGAAAGGGTCTGTGTGGATGAGCTGGGGCTGCTCCTGCCTTTGGAATCCACACTTCTGGTGAGAAATTGTCTCTTGTCAAGGATCCATAAGCTCTCCTGCAAGGGAGAAATGGAAACTCTAATCCCCAGATCTGAAGTTAGGGAAGTCAGCTGGGAAGGATCCCAGTGGCCCCTAGGAAGAGGCTGTTTCAAAGCACTGGAAGGGCTAAGTCCACAAGAGATCCTGCCACCGTAGCCCAGAGCTCTTTCCTTTATCAGGCCCCAGGGACAGTGTCTGAAGCTCATGGCTTTTCAAAGTCCTACAGAAATATTTGAGGCCTAAAGTAAAATAAGAACATCGCTACATTTAAATTAAGAAAATATTTAAATATATAACGGCAAAACAAAATATTATATCATGTCAACTGCATGATATTTACATACATTTTATATATGAGATGTAGATTGATTTTACTGATTGCTATAATATAGGAAGGGCTTCTGAAAGAGTCCTGAATCTATGAAGGAATGAAAATAGCACTGCTTTTTCCCCAGAAGACTGCTTCAGCAGGAATCTTCCTGGAAAGTATTTGTTGTGATGTCACTTGATCAAGCAGAGCAGTGGGGAATATTACACTCTTCTGTGGAGTGGCAAAAGGAAATCCCTCCAGGCTTCCTTCCTGGAAGCCAGACAGCAGAAATCTGCAGCCCCAAAGGACACTACCCAGCCAGAAAAGAGCTAATCAAAGCCCACACTCTCTCTCTCCCTCCCACTCCTCCTCCCTTCCACAAACCCTCCCTGGCTATGTCAGAGGGAAGAGGCTGTCTTTGAAGGGTAGGATAAATTTTCTGCTGTTATTGGGGGTGGAAGAGGGAGTATTAAGGTTAATCTGAGCACTCAGAGATCCTGCTGGAGGACGCAGTATTAGTCACAGACCAATCTGTAGATGTGGACACCCCACATTGATTCAAGAAGCATATATGACACCAAATGGAACTATTTGGAAGAAAATTTTTTTAATTATTGTCTGATCAAATATAATCTAATAAAATGCTTCCAGACATCTCTCTAGGAGGATTTTTTTTTTTTTTTTGCTAAAATTAAGGCAAACTTACAAGTGTAAGTGAGCTTTATTACAAACATTCCCATTAATTTTGGAAGTTTCAAGGATGACCATGTAACTTAAAAGGCTAAAATAAATTTAGTTTTGTAATCAGATGAAACTTTCAAAAGTGAACTTGACTCTCTATATATAATCATTATTATACTACATGGTAATTAGGCAGTAATTATCAACAATAGACATAAAAGATGACTATTAGCATTACTTAGAATAAAGTTAGCCACTGTTATTTAATATTATAATTTTTCTCTTCTGCATTAATTATCTCTCTAATATAAGGATGATAAATAACAAACCACACAGCCACTAATGTGTACCACATAGAATAGAATTTAGCTGTCTCACACTACCACTTCACATGCCTCCCCTTCTCCCATCAGCTCTATATACCAGGGGTTGGGGACCCCTGGTATATGAGATGTAGATCTACATCTCAATCTCAATCTCCATCTCAGTCTTACATCTCAATCACAGCAGGAGGTGAGCCACAGGTAAGCATTACTGCCTGAGCTGTGCCTCCTGTCAGATCAGCAGCAGCACTGGATTCTCATAGGAGTGCAAACCCTATTGTGAACTGTGCATGTGAGGATCTAGGTTATGTGCCCCTTATGAGAATCCAGTGCCCCATGATCGGAGGTGGAACAGTTTCATTCCGAAACCATCACCCCGCCACCCTGACGCCTGAATCCCCTGAAAAAATTATCTTCCATGAAACTGGTCCCTGGTACCAAAAAGGCTGGGGACCACTGCTATACACTTATGATTACTCGTTTGTTTGTTTCAGTCTCTATTTCATTTCCCTTAAGCTCTGATCCTTGGCTACCCATTTATATTTAAGTTTGAGGCATTTAGATCGAGAATGGCAGTTTGAGGTGCCTGAACATCTCTTCTCTACTATCTGTAAACTTGCAGCATTATATCTTTTTTTATTCCTTTACTATTATCTTGGTAGGTTTTCAAGAGGGAAAAGAGGAAAACAAATGTTCTTAACCCATTAACTTCTGGTTAACTTAGCCATTAACTTCACAAACAAGCCCAGTCAAAATGCTTCCTGAACAAAGTGTCCCTATGAAGGGCATACAGCTCTCAACTAACTAATGTTTTCAGCACTCAAGCTAGTCAGCTTCTCTGTTAATCAATCTTTCCCACTAAAACTGTTTTTAAAGATTCTGCTTTCTCTTGGTTTTTCATGCAGACCTCTAATTACTCAGTCTTATATATTTCATTGCTTCTTCCCCTGCCCACATCTTTTTTTAGTTGTTTTAATTTTTTAACTTCACATAGAGAAAAATTGAATTTTTTGCTTTCAATTTGTTTCTGTGGTATATCTTTTCCAGCTTTTTGTTGTTACCTATCTATATCACTATATTTAAAATGTGTTTTTGGTTGCCAAAATATAGTTGGCACTTTTACAAAATTCCAATCGGACATTATCATGATTTTCATTGTTGTATTTTGACTATTTCCATTTAATATAACTACTGGTGTGGCTGGATTTTGGTCTTCTATATTATCATTTCTTTTCTGCTGGTTTCCTCCATTTCTGTTTCTCTGCTTCCCCTTCCTAGACTTATTTGGGATTCTTTTAATATTTTTTTATATTCCATTTTAGTTTATTTTCTACCTTTTTGACTGAGGAGGTCACATTTCAGCAGAAACCTAAATGAAACAAGGGCATGAATCATACACAGATCAGGAGGAAGAGTGCTGTACGCATAGGGACTCGCTTGTGTAAAGGTCCTGGGGCAGCAAGGGAGCCCAGCATTTCCAAGGAATAAGAAAAGGCCAGGGTGGCATGACTAGTGGAGAGAAGAGAATGTTTGACAATGAGATCAGAGGTGAGCAGCAGTCATATCAAGTAAGGTCTTGCTCAGCCACAGTCAAGAGTTCAGATTTTATTCTAAGTGTGATGGGAAGCCATCAGAGGGTTTTGAGCAAAGGAATAACTTGATCTAGTTTATATTTTTAAGAGATTTCTCTAGCATCTGTTTAGAGAATAGCATGTAGAGGGGCAAGAGTGGAACCTTAAGCCAGTTGGAAAGCTACTACAGTAGTCCAGGAGAGAGATGATTCAGTTCTGAAACCTGAGCTCTGCTCTTGCCCCAGTACTTACTGGTTGAAAGGAAGATAGCAGTGGCAATTATGAGAAATGATTTAATTCAAAATATGCTTTAGTGGTAGAGCTGACTGGACTTGCTAATGGGTCAGATGTGGGGTGTGAGGAAAGAGGGGACAAGAATGACTCTCCCTAGACCATCAGCTCCTCAAAGACTGGAACTCTGTCTCATTTATCTCCATATATTAACGCCAGCGCTTTGCCTGAAAGAAGACAGAATTTGGAATCGAGTGAGTTCTGAGTTCAGATCTTACCCCAGTACTTACTGTGGAAAGACCTTATTTAACCTCTTTTGAATACCAGTTTCTTCCTCTGTAAGTTACAATTATAAATTCGGCAGCATTGTTGAGGACCCGGTGTGTAGCAACTGTGCAATAGTTGTTTAGTGGTTGCTTAGTACTAAATAAATCTTTATTCAGAGAATAACATGGGCTTTGCATTTAATTCTCTAACAGCTGCAGTCCCTTGTTCCCCACCTCCACTATCTCACTCTCTCCACCTCAACACTGTTGCCCATCGTTTTCTTGCCTACTACAAACAGGGAGGTTCTTTACTTCCATCTACCTGAGGTTATACCTAGTGATACAGCTCAAAAATATTTTTAATATATCAAAAAGCTTAAAGGTATTCAAACATTGGGATTACATTTATTCATAGTGTAAACTTCCTCAAAGGTAAATGATTATTTGGACAGAATCTCAAAAAAATGACTCCAGAAATAGAAAAATAATCATCTTGGGAGGTGAAAAGAACAGGATGCACTCCACTCCATAATGTTACGTTGCAGTTCCTCAGAAACAAAGAAGCAAAACTGTTATTATTTAACTATATATCTCTAATTGCTATTTAATTTTTACCTTCTGTTTCTTAATCCAAGAGTTACAAAAAGACAATAAAAATAAAAAGTTAAAAATGAGAATGATGAATTTTATTTAATTATTCTTTAATGAAATACATTTTAAACTACCCGTTTCTTTTGAAAACCTTGCCTATACTTTTTTCTAGTATGATTCTAAATGCCTGTCACCACTCACTTTAAAGCCTGTTACCAGTAACCCATTCTGAGTAACTATTTCCTGCCCTGTTTGAAACAGATTTATTTTGCTATATTTGCAAAGGGAAAAGAGGAAAATTTTGAGAAAGTTACCACTAAACAGCAGAGTACACATTACAGGAATCATTTTATTTACTAAGTAACTTGAGTTTTGTCTGTACTCCCTTAAGAGAAGTGATGGTCTTGATCAAATTAGAAATGTTTAAAAATGTATTGGCTGTTTATCTGTAATCCAAACAAAGCAAAAATATACATTTTTTCAAAGAGCCTATTAGTCATTTCAAGTATTTTAATAGAATTCTTGCTAAAGTTGAGCTACCACTCATTAATATTGCCAGTTGATAATAATAAAATCTTGTTCACTAGTTCTCAGAAGTCAATGTGCAAAATCAAGTGGGTTACACAACAGGAAGGCTTACCTCTAGTGCAAAGCCATACTGGCCTAGTTCTACGTAGATGAGTCCACGATTAAGGAAGGTATTTAGTTTTACAGTTTCTGTAGCATCAAGAAGCAGCACAATTCCATAATCTGTTAATGCCTAAAAATAATCATTTGTAACATAGATTCAACTTTTTAGAGCCTGAATTCATTGGCTATGGACAAACGTATTTATGTCCAAACTAGGACCCAATGGTTAGTTCTTCAATTTGTTTTATAATTTATGGCCAAAATAATCATATGTTAGATTTAAAGGGTACCCTTAGGTAAAATGTATGATGGACCTTGATACTTTCCAATAAGCAGTGCACACTGTGCTTGCATTTCATGTTTTACCTACAAGTCACCCTATACATTTTCACTGGTGTACGGGCTGGAAGGGAGGGACTTAGCATTCTGCCTCTACTGGGTAGTTTCATCAAATGACTGTTGCTGTGATTACCATTAAAAATGTAATTTCTTTTTAGTGTTGTATTGTTTTCCTAAGCTCTGTGAGGCCAGAGCTTATCCATTTTGTTCACTGTTTTAAGCCCAGTAACAAGAATCAAGCCTGCACATAGCATGCATTCAATAAATTTGTATCCAATGAAAAAATCATGAATCAATGAAAATAGATCTTAAAACTAACAAATAAGCACTTGTAGGAAAGCTATCTCAAAATATTTTGATAAATATATTCATTTTTTAAAAGACACATAGTGTAATCTGAGAATCAACTCAGACCCTTCTCCATTACTTTTACCTTTTTGGTTTTTTTTACATTCACTGACTAAACAAGATTTTACTGGTTTCTACTCTGTACCAGGTACTAGAAGCATCCTAAACTTGGGTTGGAGCTGAATCTCTTAAATCATTTTCCTACTGAACATTCTGTCCAAAAGAGCCATATGGTCTGATCAGAAAAGGGCTAAATCTTATTATGCCTGTAGCATCTGCCAACTGAAAATGACAAAGAGCATTTTATATTTGCTCATTTGCCCTCCTCTGGTGTTTCCTAATGTTGCGTGCTCAAGTGTCTTTAAAAAATGTGCAGTTAAAGATCCTATAGGTATGTTGTGGCATAATTAAAAATAAAAATTGCCAGGACTATAAAAAAAATCAGTAGTATTTGTCAAAAAAGAAAAAACCAAACCTAGAATATTAGCCACAAATTGTCTAACATTTTTCTTTTACTAAGTCACATTATGTGAAACCAGTATGATGCCTTCGAGATCCACTAAGCAGCTGAATCTGCAATACAGGAGGAAATAAAAACTGGGAAATAAGATTTCGTAAAGGTCAACGAGGGTAAGGGGTAGGGATGGGAGCACACAGGTTTTGATTAAGAGGAGGGGTCAGGGCCTTGGCCTCTCCTGGATTTGTGCCATGCCTCTGTTATCATTACTAGCCCCTTGATTTGGAGAAAATCACTTAACACTAAGCCTTAGCTTCCTCATCTGCAAAATTGGGGTGTTAAAAATTCATCATATTGTTGTAAGGATCTGCTTAAAAATATTTTGATTGTATGTCAGTGAAGCATTTAGCTCAGTTCCTGTCACACAATAAGCCCTAAATAAGTGGTAACTGTTCAGTATTTTTATTAATATAAAGTGTTAGAACCAGAATTGATCTTCCCTTAGTTTTTATGAAACTATATCTTGGGAGAATGCCTAAGTGCATTTTCTGCAGAAAGTTACTTGGTTTTTCTCAGGCTAGGGATGGCAGGAATGCTGAGAAACAGGTGGAGGGAGATAGCAAGGGAGGAGGACACACTGCTTAATGACATCCAGTCCACATGCTGGAGGTCAGACAGTTTTACAAAGCCACCTAAACACTGTTAACCCAGAAGCAAACAAATGTGTGGACACCAGTACAGGTCACTAACTCTCTCTGTGTGACTTGGATGGGTTTTCAAACCTCTCCCTACTTCCATTTCCTCATCTGTAAAGTGAGCAGATTGGATGAAATGCTTCAGAGTCCTGGCAGCTCTGAAATCACCAATATTTTATTATCGTAATTCAGTTTTACTTGATTTAGGTAGTTTTGCATTTTCTTAATTAACAGGGCACTGGCTCTTTCGCATATCTGAGATAACAATACAATGGGTGTTCCCTCCTCGCCCAGCCCATTGTTTTCCTATTCAGGGTTACCTTTCCGGCAGGAATGGGGTTGGGGAGGGAATCCTCAAAGGCCCCTGTTGTGTAGGTCACTCTAATAAATGATCTTTCAATCAGCTCCTAGCATCTTAACAATCCCCTTGTTAAAAATTAGCTATTCATTTATCAACATTTCTGGAGGAAACCTGATAATCTGGTTACCAGGAATTTTACATCCTCTCAGGTAGAGACAATGTTTCTCAACTTCCCTTCTAAAGCTTGTACATTTCTAAATTACTAAATGTTTTAAACAGATTTCACTGTCCACGTTTCACAGAATGGAGAGTGTGTGAACACAGAACAGCGGGAATGTGACCTAGCCTTTTAAAAGAATGCGTCATTTACTATGGACATGGGCAGGAATAAGGAGAGTGAGACAAGTAACAGAGAAAGAGGATGGGACACTACACTGAAAGACCGCAAGACTAGCTGCTCCCCAGTGAGGAATCCTCATTGAAAAGGGACCAAACCGACAGGAGAGAAGAGAGTAGGTAAGATTACAAAATATAAACAAGAGTTTGCACAGGTAGATGCTGGATCAAGACAAATGGAAAAAAAGGTTTGCTGCAGCCCACAGGCCTTCAAAATATAGGCCAAACCTGGTCACTGGTCCCTGGAGCTGAAAACCATCACTCCATCCTCCCTGCTACATGTGTGGTCTGAGGACCAAACAAAAGAATGCCTACACAAACTGCTCTAGCTAATATTAAAATTTTGAAACCACAATATTGCTAGTGATTGCTACTGCTTTAAAAATTCTGCACTTTGGGAGGCCGAGGCAGGCGGATCACGAGGTCAGGAGATTGAGACCATTCTGGCTAACATGGTGAAACCCTGTCTCTACTAAAAATACAAAAAATTAGCAGGGCATGATTGGGGGTGCCTGTAGTCCCAGCTACTTAGGAGGCTGAGGCGGGAGAATGGCGTGAACCCGGGAGGCGGAGGTTGCAGTGAGCCAAGATCACGCCACTGCGCTCCAGCCTGGGCAACAGAGTGAGTCTCCGTCTCAAAAAAAAAAAAAAAAAAAAAAATTCTGCATATGGTAGAAACATTTATTCAATTGATAATTATGTAATGTATTTAATTTATAAATGCCTTTAAATACTTCTATAAGCATTATCAACTTAATTTTTCATTTGACTTCTTTCAGAAATTATATAAGAAAATTTGGTGAGCACCAACAAAGAAATTAAATATTCTTTGAAATGGTTCTTTGGTTTCTTAAGTTTTATATGTGTGTATTTCCTAGGAATTCCTTTTGAAAATTGTAGCAGAAGTAATAAGAAAATACTTTATAAATGCCTTAAATGAGTTTACAAATGCTTTAACATATTGTTTATTAAATATTTATTGATTGAAATCCACAAGCTATTAAATGCATGTTATTTATTAAACACTTTAAACACATTGTTTACTAAAATGGTCATCTTACCATTTGAAGTTCCCTTATCTTGGTGTAACATAATGCTCTGTTATAAAATGCTGTATAACTATTTTTGTCCATGCTGATAGCTGTAGTTAAATCTGTAATTGCTAGCTTATAAGTCTAAAAAGAAAAAAGTAATTATGTGAGAAAGGAAAATCATAATGGACTGAAATTTAATCATAAAATAAATTCTTGTTTCTATCAGAGTTTTTGAAACACTCATTTAACCATTCTTTGTATCATCTGTGAAATTAAGACATTGAAGCTAATCTTTCACAGAGTTAATTAAGAAAATCTCCTGGTAGAAATTATCATTATAGTTTCTCTTACCTGCAAACAAAATTAAATATATCAACAACTTTAATTTAGGCAAATATCTTATTACCAATGTTGGTATATGGCAAGGAGAAAATCATACTTCTAGGTAAAATAAAATAAAGCCACCCATATTAATGCAGCAAACATTCACCAGTGCTTGCTTGCTTCTGTCACTCTGACTACCATATCACATAATCGTCATGTTTTCTACCCACGTTCTCTTTTGCTTCCTCTTTGATTCTTCTCTGATACCTTATATCACCCATTTCTGTAGATAGTAATTTTCATAGAATTAACACATAATGCAAGGTCTTACCTTTGCTTTAAGGTATTATTTGCAAAATATTTCATATAAAATAGCTACAAAGAAAGATCAGAAAAGAAAAGTAGAGAGAAATAAAGTATTCAGTGCAGTATCACATATCAATGGTGCCAGTCACACCTTTTAACCCAGTAACTTCTGTTTAAGAACCAATCATAAACCCAAGCAGCAATTTTGTTCTCAGTTGTATATAACTATATTAAATAGTATAATAGTAAAAATTTTAAAAACAATCAAAAAGTTCAACAATAAAGTAATTTAAAATAAATTGTCATGGAATATTATGCAGTCAGCAAAATATTATCTTCAAAGATTAAGTGTAAAAAGCAGGGCACCACACAAGTTATATAAATACCATAGTCCAAATTTTGGAAAATATATATCATATATTATGAGGAAAATAAAAGACTGAATACAAATATGCTAAATGCACCCAGGAATTATCATTGATGGTGAGATAATAATCCTTTATTCCCTTCCATATTTTTCCAAACTGTCTACAATGAATATATGCTACATTCTTAATAAAAATAAATAATAAATGTTATTTAAAATGTAAATGTCAAAAATAAATACCATTATTTTGTGAAAAAAATATGAATTGGGAAAGTGTAAAGTTTTCTATGTAGTTCTGCCCTTCATATCATAGTGATTCCCAACCACATAGAAAAAAAGTAAGTGAGTCCCCTGCCTAGCATAAGAGAATCTGCCCACCCTAAAATTTCGGTAAACCAGGCAGGAAATGGCCCTACCTTGTTGTAGTATTTCAGAACTCCTCTGTAGAGATAGGCACGTACGCTTTCAGGGTAAATTTTAATAGCCTTGTTACAATTCAAGATTGCTTTGGAATACCTGCCTTTTAAACCATAGAATGCTACTCGGCTTAAATATGCCTATTCAGAGAGAGAGAGAGAAAGCAGGAATGGATGCTTTAGTAAAAGCACCAATTCTACCAAAATATATGCTACTTGGAACAAATCTATGCCTCCCAAAAAGGGTATTAAAATATAGTCTTTTTAAAATTTTTCTTTTATTAGAAAAAAATTTCAAAGGACACAGAATAATTGAAAGAATGATAAATACCTATCACCTGGAGTTAATAATTATTAACATTTTGCCATATTTATCTATTTTTTTCTGCACTATTGGAAAACAAGTTGTAGATATGGTAATACTTTACCCCAAGTCCTCCAGTATGCATCTCCTGTGAAAAAAAGACATTCTCGTACATAACCACACTGCCATTATATATCCAAGATAACTTATAGAAATTTCCTAAAATAATTTAACACTTAGACCAGATTCAAATTTCACAGATTCCTAAAATCAAGATGCAATCAAGCTTCACCTACTGAATTTTGTGTTGCCTGTATAGTCTATTAAAAGGCAGGAATCTATGTAACATCAAAACAAAAAGTAAGTAAAATTAATGAGTATATAAACTTTAAATTATTAATAGCCACATTAATATTTACATATATCACATTCACAGATACGTTTATATATATCAGAATATCACTGATGGAAATAATACTTTTAGTTTAAGAAGAAATACAGCTATTTGGATTATGAAAATAAAGTTAAGTGAAAAGTAGGTATAAGAAACTGATTGTTGGTAATTAATAACAATGGCACATAAAAGATTTAATAGTTTTACCAAACTTAACACTTTCCAACTCACTAAAAACATCTGTTTAAATACCTGGTAATGTTTTGGATTGAGGGTAATTGCACGATTAAAATCCAGAATCGAGCTATCCTTGTGGAGTTTCACTTTACAAAGCCCTCGCTGATAAAAGCTTTCTGCAAAATCTGGATTTGCTTTCACAGCTTTTGTAAAAGAATCAAAAGCCTACAGGAGCATATTGTCAAAATGCAAACCATTTAGTGATATAATATATTGTTTTAAAATGTTAACGAATTACAGTATATAATTATTGTTGAAAAGTTTCACTCTATTTTTGGATTATTTTAAATACATTTCTCCTAATGGACCTCATGGAACAAACAAAACTAATATTTAGAAACAAGTAGGGTTGATTATTATAATTAAAGGCAGACTAGGTCTACATAATCCATATTGTTAGATTACAATATTTCAGGTGGTATAATTTTAATTATTCTTCAGATTTCATTGCTTCAAAGAAATCACAACCAGCACATTTATTTTTCATTAGGATCCAGCAAATGCATCATTATAAAACTTCAGAACAGGCCAGGCATGGTGGCTCATTCCTGTAATCCCAGCACTTTGAGAGACCAAGGCGGGCGGATCATGAGGTGAAAAGATGAAGACCATCCTGGCCAACATGGTGAAACTCCATCTCTACTAAAAACTACAAAAATTAGCCAGGTGCGGTGGCGTGAGCCTGTAATCCCAGCTACTCGGGAGGCTGAGGCAGGAGAATCGCTTGAAACTGGGAGGCAGAGGTTGCAGTGAGCCGAGATCGCGCCACTGCACTCCACCCTGGCGACAGAGCGAAACTCCATCTCAAAAAACAAACAAACAAACAAACAAAAAAACACTTCAGAACAATAGAACTCTAAAATTTTTCCCCGCATTTTAAAGCAAAGCTGAGTTTGCTCTGGTTGTTCAAAAGGACTAAAAACATGTAAAATATTTGTAATTTGTCTCATATTTACTGGCATTTCTTAATAGAACAACTAATCAAGTGCACCTCTTTTTTCATTTATACCAATACCAGTTTAAAACAATGTCCACCCCACGAACGTAAGAATTAGAATGATGTGTGTGTGTTTGTGTGTGTGTGTGTGTGTGTGTGTGTGTGTGTGTGTCTTGAGATAGAGTTGTAGAATATCCAACATTAGCCATTGGATAGTATCAATTATTTTACATATTTGTCATATCAGTGACAAGTCTGAAGTAAAGAATTGCCTAAAATCACCAAAGACTGGATAAATATGTAATAATTGAATCAACTGTTTTTCAGTAAATCTGGCCATCTTAACAACCAGTTTCAATCTGATTTGAATTGTTCAATGATCAATAACAAAAGCCAGAAAGCCCTAATCTTTTCCATTTATTCTACATTATGTTAAAGCACTTAAAATACTTAAAATTTAATAAGTGAACTCATACTACTGTGATAAAATTATTTTACTGTAATAATTTCCTGCAGTTAGATTTATTGTTCTGGTGGGAAACGCATATTAATCTTTAGAATATTGTTGACAAACAAGCATCAAATAAAACATGTTGATTAAATAAAACAATGTCCTAGGTGTTGCAGGGTGCAGAATGACTATAACAAGCCAAGCTTCATAAGCAGCTTTGGACCGGTTGCCCACTGTATAGGTGGCCTTCAGAAACAGAATTGCATACAAGCAACCAGTCTCTAAAATCACAAATAATCTATACTCCTAAATACACGAAATACCATTTGTAAATTGCCTTCCTCCATGTAACAAAGACCCAAGTTATACAGACAGTCTGCTGAAATTGCTGTGGCATCTGGTCCTTTATCAGAATGAGAAATGGCATCCAAAGCCTTCTTAAGCACTTCCACAGCTTCCTATAATGATAAAAAAGCAGGGAGGGGGCAAGAAATGTTTCTTTCCACTATTGATTTAACGTTACAGCCTTATATGTTAAAAGGAGCACAGAGCACACACCTCTACTCTTACTTTATCTGGGGACAAACAGACCTGGTGAAGTTACAGGTCTTGTCAGTACACTACAAGAAGAGAACCCAGTTCAGAAGTCTTACCCTCATGAGTCCCACCCAGGTGCCTATCCTACAAGCCAGTACTTAAGCAGGCTTATGGACATGGATTTTTGGAACTAAAATTTCTGAATTCTAAAGGCTATATACACAAGCTTAAGTCAGGCTTAAATTTATGAACAAGTTTATTGACAATTTCCTAATAATTTCTCTGAATGGAATACTGGGAAGCTACTAGGTAGTAAAAGATCTCCACTGATAATATCTGACATAATTTTAATCCATTTTTTATTGTGTCCTGCTGTCCTCCTAATAGGGTTTTATTGGCACCAAAAAAATAAACTACCTCCAAAACTCAACCATTTATTTATTCAAAAGAGTCAAAAGTCTCATTAATGAAAATGTTCAAACTCTCATTAATGAAAAAGTTCAAAATAGTCAAAAGTTTCATGAATGAAAAAGTCTCATTAAATGAAAAAGTCAAATGTCTCATTAATGAAAAAGATAGAAATGCCATTTAATACTTAACTACCCACTGTATATCTGTATATAGAAAGACAAATACTTGTTACTGGTTATACCATCTTCTTAATTGTCTTAAATTGCTAAAGAAAAAATGAAGTTTCACTTGGATATGCTAAGTGTTCTATTGAGCATTAGCTGTATATGTTTGCAAGCCACCCAACATCCCTCCTTCTGTCCTCACTCTCAGCACATGACCTTGCCTAGAAAAAGTGGATTACTGTCTCAATTTCCCCCCTTTCTACTTTTCGATGAATCTATATCTTCATTCACTTTCACCTTTTTCTCTCCTGTCTTTGAATTGCTTTCTTTCTCATTCCTTGCAGAGCTAACTCCTCAAAAGCTGTCCTTGACCCCATCTTCTCCTGCCTCACCTGAGCAGCCTGTTACTTCCTTCCTCCTTTGGATTTCTGCCCCTTTACTGACTCCTTGAGCCCATTAAAACTTGTCTACTCAAGCCTTCCAACCCATTTAAATTAAAATGAACATGTCTTCACTTCCTCCTGCTTCCTCCATCTCTCTCTCTTTCACTACTCCACGGTGTCATCTGAGGGACATCTGCAGGGGCTTACAGATAAGTCATCTTTATAGTCTGCAGAAAGTACTGTGGCTGCTGTGTGGATAAAAGCTTGGAAGAGTACAACAATGCAGCTATATAATTCAAAAAAATTTTTTTAACTATATGCTCCAAACCAGGATAATAACCACAGAAATAAAGAAAGTGGATTTGAGAAGTATCTAGAAAGCAGAACCAAGAAAACATCACTATTGATTGGGTGGAAGAGGGTAGCTGATGGTGACATCAGGTATCCAGCTAGAGTCACAGAGGACAGGCTGGGAGGAGGAGATTAAAGCAAATATAAAAAAGCAGTCCTCAAATAATACAGAGACCAAAATCTCCAAATGTGAAGAAAAAAGTAGACATGATCCATACTGAGTAATGATCACAGAATCTGCAATAAGAAAGTCAATGAAGGCTGGGCACAGTGGCTTACACCTGTAATTCCAGCACTTTGGGAGGCAGAAGCAAGTGGATCACCTAAGGTCAGGAGTTCAAGACCAGCCTGGCCAACATGGTGAAACCCCATCTCTACTAAAAACACAAAAATTAGCTGGGCATAGTGGTATGTGCCTATAATCCCAGCTAGTCAGGAGGCTGAGGCAGGAGAATTGCTTGAACCCAGGAGGCAGAGGTTGCAGTGAGCTGAGATTGCGCCACTGCACTCCAGCTGGGTGACTGAGCAAGACTCCATCTCAAAAAAAAAAAAAAGAGAAAAAAGAAAGTCAATGAAGCTAGCAAGAGTGCTTGATTCCAAACCAGAGGTGCATTCGTTTTTCTATCGCTACAGGTCAAATTACCACACATTTAGCAAATGATAGTAACATGCATTTATCATCTCACACTTTCCACAGGTCCGGAGATTGGGCATGGCTTAACTGGGCCCTCTGCTCCGGGTCCTACAAAGCTGCTATCAATGTGTCGGTTGAGCTACATTCTCCTCTGGAAACTTGGCTGGGAGAATTAGCTTCCAAGCTCATTCATGTTGTCAGCAGCCTTCATTTCCTTGAGACTCCAGGACTGACAGCCCCAGTTTCATTTTTTTTTTATTTTATTTTAAGTACCAGGGTACATATGCAGGATATACAGGTTTGTTACAAAGGTAAACACGTGCCATGGTGGTTTGCTGCACCTACCAACCCACCACCTAAGTATTAAGCCCAGCACGCATTAGCTGTTTTTCCTAATGCTCTGTCTCCCCGCACCCTTTTTCCTACAGGCCCCAGTGTGTGTTGTTCCCCTCCTTGTGTCCATGTGTTCTCATTGTTCAGCTCCCATTTATAACATGCAGGGCTTGGTTTTCTGTTTCTGCATTAGTTTGCTGAGGATAATGGCTTCCAGCTCCATCCACGTCCCTGCAAAGGACATGATCTCATTACTTTTTATGCTGCATAATATTCCATCGTGTGTATGTACCACATTTTCTTTATCCGCTCTATCATTGATGGGCATTTGAGTTGATTCCGTATCTTTGCTATTGTGAATAGTGCTGCAATGAACATACACATGCATGTATCTTTGTAACAGAATGATTTATATTCCTTTGGAATATATACTCAGTAATGAGATTGCTGGGTCAAATGGCATTTCTGCCTCTAGGTCTTTGAGGAATCGCCAAACCGTCTTACACAATGGTTGAAATGTATAAAAGCGTTCCTATTTCTCTGCAACCTCACCAGCATCTGTTGTTTCTTTACTTTTTAATAATCACCATTCTGACTGGTGTGATGCAAATAAAAACCACAATGAGATACCAGCTTGCTGGCTGTTGGCTGCACTCAGGTCCCAGCTGCCCACAGTTCCTCACCACATCACTCTCTCCATAAGAAGTCACAACAAGGCCAGCAGGAGAACCTCTCTCTCTTTACTCTGCTAAGAAGGAGGTCTTATATACTGCAACATAATTGAGGGAGCGACACCCCACCAATTTTGCCATATTCTATTGGTTGGAAGCAAGTCACAGGTCCTGCACACACTCAAGGAAGGGGAGGAGATAACATAGGGTATGATTAAGAATAATCTTAGAGTGTGTCTACCAGATGACTCTAATGATCTGGCCCCCAGTAATTCAACATTCTTGCCACACGCAAAATATATTCCTCCATTCCAAGGTCCCCCAAAGTCTCAGCTCATTATTGCATCAGCTCAACATCTAAAATTTCATCATTTAAAGCAGGTCCAAGTCTGGATGAGGCATTTAAGTAAAATCCACCAGCTCCCACTCTTGGGACACAATTCCTCTCCATCTGTGGACTTGTGAAATTAAAGAGACAAGTTATCTGTCCCCAAAACACCCAACATACAATGGGTGACAGGCATAGAATAATATCCACAGATATTCTGGTTTAAAAAGGGGAAAATGGAAGATTAAAATGAGCCACTGGTCCATGGCAGTTCTGAAATACATTTGGGCAAATGCTCAGTCTCTTGATTAGGTTTCAAAACATTTATGGCACTTAGTGTCATCCTGTGGGTTCCTAGTCTTGCCTTCTGGGTCCTTTTTCCTTTTTTATGAAAGGTTGTACGTGTTTGCAGCTGAGTTGTTTTATTAACCTACTTCCTGCCAGAATGATTTTGAGGTCTGACAGCCTTCTTTCGTTTTGTACTCTCTCTGTCTAAGTCCAAATTGTCAGTGTTTATAAATAAATAATTCTCCTAAAAACTTTGGAGATCTTCCATGGATTTCACAGGGATTCACTTCATTAGACAAAAGCCACATCCACTAATTTTTTCAAGAAAATTCCTTGTCTACTTCGGCCTACTGCTGAGATGCCTGAGGGACAATGCCCTTAAGCTTCTGGAGATCCTCTGGTTTGGTTAAGAAGATTTGTAAGTTTTGCCCTTAATCTCTTGAAAGGAAAAAGAACTAGTGTGACTGAATACTCTGCCCTCATGATCCTTCTAAGTTCTTAGCAAAGTGTTGTCCGGCCACACCTTGTCCTTTTCTCTTGACTGAATTTTGTCCTCTTTTGCCATCTGGAGAAGTTGAAAATTTTCCTCATAAGCAAGTCCTGGTTGACTTTGTTTAACAGTTCTTAACTTATCTCTCCTTTCTCACACTTTACTATTAGAAGCAAAAAGAAAGCTGGCAGCACTGTCAACACCTTGCTTGGAAATTATCTTAGCTGTATATCCAGGCTCCTGAATTATTAGTTCTTCTTTCCATACAACTAAATGAGAAAATTTTACTAAGCTTTGAACCACTAAATAAAAATAATAACATGTTGCTCATTTGCCTCAGAGTCCTCAATGCTAGTGTCTTTAAAAACCAGGTATCTACTAAGAGTCTGTTTGAGGTGATTGAAGCTTTTTCTGTCATGTTCCTCAAAATTCTTTCAGCCTCTGCCCACTGCTTTGTTCTAAAGCTGCTCCTACATTTGCAGGTATTTGTTACAGCAACACTGCATCTGTATTATTTTCTTGTTGCTGCAAAAAATAAAAAATGCCACAAACTTAATGCTTTAAAACAACACACATTTCTTATCTCACAGGAGATAGTTTAGAATATTGTTGACGAACAAGCAGAGGTGAGGGGCCAGGAGCCTGCGCATAGCTTAGCTGAGTCCTCTGCTTAGGGTTTCCCAGGCTTCAGTCAAGGTGTCAACTGTGCTACATTCTCATCTGAAAACTTCTTTTCTCTTCTTCTTTTAAGCTCATTCTGATTGTTGGTGGGTTTCGTTTCCTTATGGCTGCATGACTGAGGGCCCAGGCTTCTTACTGGCTATTGGCTGAAGATTGTCCTGAGGTCCTCAAGGCCACAGCAGTTCCCTACCATGATACCCTCTCCACAAGCAGTTCATAGTATAATTCTTTGCTTTTTTAAGGCCAGGAAGGGAATTTCTCTCTCCAGTCTACTACATAACCTAATATAATCATGGGAGTGACATCCCATCATCTTTCCCATACTCTGTTGGTTAGAAGTGAGACATAGGTTCCACTCACACTCAAGGTCACACAAGGGCATAACTTGTTGAGGGTCACCTTATCATGTGTCCATCACAAGAGGAAAGGAGCCAGATTGTGGTGAGCAGCAGAATGAGTGGAAAGTGAGGAAATGAAGATAAGGACTATAAACAATTTTCCAAGATTTGGTTGTGCCAGAGTAAAGAGAAAAAAGCCAATAATTGGTGAGGTCAAGAGAGCAAAAATAAAGTTTTTTTAGTTTTTATACTAAAGGTAGTTTCTCATGATTAAATGCTTATGGAATGAAGCTGATAAAAAGTCTTAAAATGCCCAGGGAGAAAAAATAGGAATAATAACGGCTAATGTTTATTAAATGTGTGCCATGTACTAGATATTAAAGCATTAAATAATCTTTCAAAGAAGACATCCTTACAATCTTTAGACAAACTCATTCACTAAATAGAAAAGAAGAAATACTCTCCAAATAATCCTATGAGATCAATACTCAAATCCCACAAAACCAATCTCACTCATAAATATAGACACAAAGATCCTCACAAGCAACTCAAATTTAGCAATGTCTACAAAAAGATTATATATTCTGATCAAGTTGGTTTAACCCAGGAATGCATGGTTGGTCTAACACTAAATAATGTCATAGATTACTTAATTTCATATGTGACATATAATCTGCTACATTAACATATTAAAGGATAAAAACATAATAATTTCAATACCTGATGAAAAATTATTTGATAAAATTCAAAATGGAAATAGAAAGATTATGTAATCTTTATTTTGTTTAAATTATCTACAAAAATCAATCCCAAACTTCATTCTTAGTAGGGTAAACTTCCTTTAAAATTTGGAAGAAAATAAGGGTGTCTTTGTCACTAGTTTTAGTCAGTATTGTCTTGGAGTTTCTAGCCAGCACAGTTAGACAAGAATAAGAAACAGAATACATAAAAAGAAAGAAAAAAATAAAACTATTATTATTTATAGATGACATATTTTCCTAGTTATAAACCCAAAAGAACAGAACTAAACATTTTAAGAAATAATAAGCAAGTTCAGCAAGGTGGTCAGCCAGTAGATAAGTATTCCAAAATCAGTTTCATTTCTATAAACCATCAGCAAACAAATTTTTTTAAAGATACCCTTTATAATAGTAGCAAAAACTATGAAAAAAAACTGGAAAACTAGGAAACTTTTAGCAATGGATATGTAAAATCTATTCAAAAGAAAAAGTGAAATAAATGGGGCAATACATCATTCTGATCATAAACTAAAGAATTCAATATCATAAAGATGTCAATTCTCCCTAAAACAATCTCAAGATTCAAAATCTCAAGAGAGTTTTTAATGGACCTTGGGCAAGCTAAATTTAACATGTATATGGCAGAGTAAATGCTGAAGATTAACCAGGAGCTTCCTAGAGAAGAATATGGTGTGGGGACTTGCTCCACCAGTTATCAATAATTTCAATGAGGTTATAGCAATTAAGACATTGTACTGCTGGGCCAGTAATAGAAAAATTGACCAAAGGAACAGAACAGAGAATCTAAAATAGCACATGATCCACACATATGTGAAAACTTGTAATAAGATAGATGTAGCACTGCAGATTTTTGGGTTAAGAAGAACATTTCAATAAAGGATACTGAAACATTTAAATACCCATATGGAGAAAACTGAAATTTTATCACTCTCTCATGCTAAAAAAGAATAATCTTAAGATAGAGTAGGGTCTTAAATGGAAAAAGGAAAACTTAAACTTTCCAAAGAAAATAGGGAAGAATATCTTGACCTTGGAGTAGAAAAGGGCTTTTTAAACAAGGTATTTTTTAAGACGCCCTGATGACAAATTTTAAAATAGACATATTCTATTTTAAATAGACATATTACTACATTAAACTTTAGAAGTTTTGTTCATCAGAAGACACCACAGAGACAAAAGACGAGGCACAAACTGTAAGAAGATACTCAGCACACAATCGAGGATTAGTATACAGAATTTATATCTTAAATGCCTAAAATCAGTAAGAACAAGAGAAATGAAAAATGTGTATAGCAAATTGATAGAACAGAAAATATGAGTGGCTGATAAACATAAAAAGATTCTCAACCTGATGCTCAAACTGAGAAGTGTGAATTAAGACCACAAGACATAAATTTTTATCCACCAAATTGGCAAAAATAAAGCCTAACAATATCAATTATTGTAAAAGATGCAGACCAACAGGAACAGGAATACACCTACACTTCAGGTAGGAGAATAAATTGGTACCGCCCTATGAAACAACGCGTCATTTCCTTGAAAGTTAAACATTCACATTCTCTACATACCACCAATTGCACTCCTTGAAATATAACCTGGAAAACTACTCCACATGCTGACTGAATACATGAAAAAGAATATTTAGGGCAGCCCTGTTCTTAAGAGGGGGCACAAAAAAGAGAGAAAATAACCCAAATGTTAATTCACAGAAAATAAATAGTATGACTTAATTTTGTGAAAAATATTTAAAGTGGTATACTAAGCACAATATATACACTTCATTAATAGGTTTAGTAAACATTACTCAGAGGACTTTTCACCTTGGTTCTCTTGGCCTTCATTTGAACTTTTGCTAATAGAGCACACATGGTCATCTCAGCTCTATTCCAGCTGATTCCGTCCAAGACCTCAATGGCCTTGTCATGGTTTTCACAAAATGAATAAATAAGGGCTTGCTGCATAGGACTCAACTCACTGAGACCTAAAAGGGAAGGAAAGTTTATCAATATCTTTGCCAAGTATCAATGATTTTGAATATAATTATTCTAAGGGAGTAATTCAATAATTTGTCTTTATAATATGAATTAACAAATCAATAAATTATAAAATTAACAAATCATAGTAAGATCTATTTACTACCAGTAACCAACAAGACATTCCAATTACAGACAAAAAATAGAAAAATTGTAAGCTTAATATTTCCCATAAAAATTCTCTCTCACAAAATTCACTGCTATGAATCATTTTACTAATTGGCAATGTACATATAAAACTAAAGTTTGAAAATCTAATTTGACTTTCAATTGGATCCTTCATGCTATTTATACATAACTATTGCAAAATAGCATAAAAATTTTAAAGAAGTATTTCTTAAAAGTTATAATTAATTATACTTACCTTTGTCCATTTCTGCTATTTGATAAATAGTAAACTTTGCAAGATCATAATATTTCATCATAAGAAGATATTGTCCTCTGGAAGAAATAATCGATTTTGATTCTAAGCAGCTAAAAATTAACTTTCTAAAATAAAGTTTCTTCTAATCAGTTACTTACAATTTTACAATATATTCATTCTTATTTACTTATGTATGCATAAAAAAGTGAAAATTATAGACATTTTATATAAACTAAATATATCAATTAGCATAGTGATGTGATGAGAAAACTTAGGAAATGTAACACTGAAAGAAAAATACACAAATCTCTTTTTGCAATTATCTGCATTTAAAATGTTATACTTTTTGCTGAGAAATTATTAAAAGATAAAGTTCAAGGCATATAAAAGGAAGGAGGTATCTACATAAATTGCTAAAATGTGGTTCAAGGACAAAGCAAGCCCTTATCAGTAAAGCATTGTCACATTCCATTTCCCAGGTCTATAAATCCTTAAAAGTTTATATTTTTGATAGTGATAACTCATAACTTGCAAAGGATATCTTTATAGAAAGTTCTACTGCATTTGAAATACTGCATGGAAGTAGGCAGTACCTGTAGAAATGGTATACAATTCAGTATGTCACTTCTTTTCACTGAATTAGCAGAGGTTTGTGTTTAGTACACATGCTTATGTTTGATTGTGGACATAATCAAAACAACTGTTCAAAATACGTTACCTTACTCTTATGAGATATGTGATAACCATATGACTAGTCGCTTAAAAAGGTCTCAAAGAACATAAACACTAAACAGGTATATTTTGATGCAAGGGTAGAGCAAAGGGAAAAATCTGGTTATCTTATGTAATAAACTATCTCAAAGTTTAACAAACTGGCTTGCTGGTGGGGAAATGGCAATTGCTGGGAGATTAAATGTAAAATGGGGAGCCTGAAAGGTTCAAGAGGGAACTGAAGATCCCCATTCAATTTCTCTGATGCTAAGTTATCCCAAGAAGAATTCAGTTTCTATGCTCATACCTTCTTATGTATAATTGGATTCCATCTGGCTGAAGGTGGATAGCACGAGACAATTCATTTACTGCCTTTTTCAATTTATGCAACTGTTGAGTGAGAAACAGAAATTTAGCTCCTAATAACATCGATTGCTTCCTTTCTGATATTTATCCTCTCCCACCCTTTCTACAGAAATTTTGCAGGGACATCTCCTAACATACATGTTTTTCTTAAGAATCTACAAAGCAAATGGGATACAGAGAAGTAAAAAGAAAAATTTATGATATATTCTTAGTTTTTAAAAATCATCTATCTTTAATTTTAAATAATAATTATACATATCTACATATACTATTTCACATAAATGTGATTATATAATACATTCTGGATTGTGTACGTGTTTGTGTTCTCTTTTATCATTTAGTTTCCAGTTTTTCTCCCTCAACCCTAACAACTTTTTCAGCAAACCTGATCCATCTTAATCAAGCAGCATGCAGGCTGGTCTCAGGCCTCTAATTCGAGCGCTTTGGGAGGCTGAGATAGGAGAATCGCTTGATGAGGCCAGGAGGTCAAGACCAGCCTGGTCAACATAGTGAGACTCCATCTAGACAAAAACAATAATAGGAATAAAGACTAAGAAATAAAGTAGCATGCAAAGGAGGGTAATATAAAAACTAAAACTCTATTCCACTTAAAAATAAGGGAGGAAAAACAGGCCTGCACAAAAATTAAGTAAATGAATGAATGAATATAACAAAATAAAAAAATGATGAAAAAGTAATCTGCTTACCATCAATATGTAACGAAAAGTAAACATTAATTATTCCCTTAATACTGGTCGCAGAAACTGAATTTGTACAACTTTGGGACAAAATCAACTATCATTGAAAATATTACCAAAAGAGCACTCTACAGACCAGAGCAAAATTAACCTGGGACAACCAACCAATCCTTTTATTGTTACGGCACAATGATGCAAAGAAGCAAATGTACAAAACTAATTTGTGCATGGAAGCAGGCAGTACCTGTAGAGATGGTATAAATGTTTGGAGGAAATGGTGGATGGACTCAAAAGAGGAAACAAAAAAGGAGGAAGTTTGAGATTAGTTTAAACAAATTGGAAAATTTCTGTGGAACTTCATGCCTGCTGCTTCCTAAGCTAACCCTATTCAGGATGGTGTAATTAATAAATCATATAGTCATATGTCCACATTGCTATACCTGTTCTACCAACCATACATGTCTATGCATTGAGGAAATCCTGACTTAAGACAAATGGAGGCTCATTCGCAGATCTCACAAGCTTCCCTGACATTAGACCACTACCAGGTAGCCTTAGATTAGATTTACCCTGGAGGCTGAACCCACATAATGGGAGTATATATTCTTGTACATACATACACAAGGGTTTATTTACAATTGTTTTATTTACATGGAATCGTATTGTACACACTTCACACTCTTTTGTGAGCCCTACTTTTCTTACTTAAAAATATCTCATGGAAAACCTTCCAAGTCAGCTAGCATAGTTCTATTCACTCTTGTCTCCATCTCTGTTACATTCTATGATGTGAATGCACCACAAATTATTCAATCATTACTGCACAGAGATTTTCGTCTCTCAGAACAGCCTTTGACTATATCCTTACACCTTGCTATCATGCTAGTGTTTCCATTTCTCTATGTGCTCAGAGGAAACTCCAACTTCCGCAGATGGTCTTACCTTCATCAACAGGGTTAAGCAAAAGAACCACACACTATGAGTATTGTCCATCCTTTCCCTGACAGAGTCAAGAACTAACATGACCTAGTGGCAACATTGAACCTGCCCTAGGTCCCTACCTC